>NT_187420.1:87559-100274 GCF_000001405.40 Homo sapiens | reverse complement strand
TCCATCCACTTTTTATGTGAAGATATCCTGTTTCCAATGACTTCCTCAAAGCGGTCCAAATATCCACTTACACATTCTACAAAAAGAGTGTTTCAAAACTGCTCTATTGAAAGAAAATTTCAACTCTGTGAGGTGAATGTACACATCACAAAGAAGTTTCTGAGAATGCTTCTGTCTAGTTTTTATGTGAAAATATTTTCTTTTTCACCATAGGCTTCAAAGCACTCCAATTGTCCACTTGCAAATAGTTTAAAAAGAGTGTTTCAAAATTGCTCTATCAAAAGAAAGGTTGAATTCTGTGGGTTGAATGCGCACATCACAAAGAAGTTTGTGAGAATGCTTCTGTCTAGTTTTTATGTGAAGATATTTCCTTTTACACCTTAGGCCTCAAGGAGCTCCAAATGTCCACTTGCAGATTCTACAAAAGGAATGTTTCAAAACTGCTCTATCAAAAGCAAGGTTCAACTCTTTGAGATGAACGCACACATCACAAAGGAGTTTCTGGGAATGCTTCTGTCTAGTTTTTAAATGAAGATATTCCTTTTCCAATGAAGGCCTCAAAGCCGTCCAAATATCCACTTGCAAATTCTTCAAAAAGAGTGTTTCAAAACTGCTCAATGAAAAGGAATGTTCAACTCTGTGAGTTGAAAGCAAACGTCACAAAGAAGTTACTGAGAATGCTTCTGTTTAGTTTTTATGTGAAGATATTTCCTTTTTCACCATAGGCTTCAAAGCGCTCCAAATGTTCACTTTCAGATTCTACAAAAAAAGTGTTTCAAAACTGCTGTATGAAAAGACAAGTTGAACTCTCTGAGTTTAATGCACACATCTGAAAAATGTTTTTGAGAATGCTTCTGTGAAGTTTTTATGTGAAGATATTTCCTTTTTCACTGTAGGTATCAAAGAGCTCCAAACGTCCACTTGCGGATTCTACAAAAAGAGTGTTTCAAAACTGCTCTATCAAAAGAAAGGTTTAATTCTGTGAGTTGAATGCACACATCACAAAGAAGTTCCTGAGAATGCTTCTGGGTAGTTTTTATGTGAAGATATTTCCTTTTTCACCATAGGATTCAAAGCATTCCAAATGTCCACTTGCAGATTCTACAAAAAATGTGTTTCAAAATTGCCCTATCAAAAGAAAGGCTCAACTCTGTGAGTTGAATGCATACATCACAAGGAAGACTCTGAGAATGCTTCTGTCTAGTTTATACGTGAAGATATTTCCTTTTTCACTTCAGGCCTCAAAGTGCACCAAATGTCCACTTGCAGATACTACAAAAAGAATGTTTCCAAACTGCACTATCAGAAGAACGGTTTAACTCTGATAGTTGAATGCACACATCACAAAGAAGTTTCTGAGAATGCTTCTGTCTAGTTTTTGCGAAGATATCCCAATTCCCAAGAATGCCTCAAAGTAGTCAAAATACCCACTTGTAAATTCTACAAAAAGAGTGCTTCAAAACTGCTGTATGAAAAGGAATGTTCAACTCTGTGAGTTGAATGCAACCAACACAAAGAAGTTTCTGAGAATGCTTCTGTGTAGTTTTTAGGTAAAGATATTTCCTTTTTCACCATAGGCCTCAAAGTGCTCCAAATGTCCAGTTGCAGATATTTCAAAAAGATTGTTTCAAAACTACTCTATCAAAAGAAAGGTTCAACTCTGTGAGTTGAATGCACACAGCACAAAGAAGTTTCTGAGAATGCTTCTGTCTAGTTTTTATGTGAAGATATTTCCTTTTTCACCATTAGCCTCAAAGCACTCAAATGTCCACTTGCAGATTCTAAAAAAAAGAGTGTTTCAAAACTTCTCTATCAAAAGAAAGGTTCAAAACTTTGAGTTGAATGCACACATCCCAAATAAGTTTCTGGCAATGCCTCTTTCTAGTTTTTATGTGAAGATATTCCTTTTCCAACGAAGGTCTCAAAGCCGTCCAAATATTCAATTGCAAATTCTACAAAAAGAGTGTTTCAAAACTGCTCTATGAAAAGCAATGTTCAACTTGTGAGTTGAAAGCAAACATCACAAAGAATTTTCTGAGAATCCTTCTGTGTAGTTTTAATGTGAAGATGTTTCCTTTTTCACCATAGGCTTCAAAGCGCTTCAAATGTCCACATGCAGATTCTACAAAAAGAGTGTTTCAAAACTGCTCTATCAAAAGAAAGGTTCAACCTTTTGAGTTGAATCCACACCCCACAAAGAAGTTAATGGGAATGCTTCTGTCTAGTTTTTGTGAAGATATCCCTTTTCCAACGAAGTCCTCATATTGGTCCAAATATACACTTGCAAATTCGACAAAAAAAGTGTTTCAAAACTGCTTTATGAAAACGGATGTTCAACTCTGTTAGTTGAAAGTGAACAACACAAGAAATTTCTCAGAATGCTTCTGTGTAGTTGTTATGTCAACATATTTCCTTTTTCACCATAGCCCTCAAAGCACTCCAAATGTCCCCTTGCAGATTCTACAAAAAGAGGGTTTCAAAACTGCTCTATCAAAAGAAAGGTTGAACTCTGTGAGTTGAAAGTACTCATCACAAATAATTTTCTGAGAATGCCTCTGTGTAGTTTTTATGAGAAGATATTTCCTTCTTCACCATAGGCCTCAAAGCACTCCAAGTGTCGACTTGCAGATACATCAAAAAGAGTGTTTCTAAACTGCTCTATCAAAAGAAGGGTTCAGCTCTGTGAGTTGAATGCGCACATCACAAAGTAGTTTCTGAGAATGCTTCTGTCTAGTTTTTCTGAAGATGTCCCGTTTCCAAAGAAGGCTTCAAAGCTGTACAAATATCCACTTGCAAATTCTACAAAAAGTGTTTTTCAAAACTGCTCAATGAAAAGGAATGTTCACCTCTCTGAGTTGAAAGCAAAAAACACAAAGAAGATTCTGAGAATGCTTCTGTCTAGTTTTTATGTGAAGATATTTCCTTTTTCACCATAGGCCTCAAAGCAATCCAAATGTCCACTTGCAGATTGTAAAAAGAGTGTTTCAAAACTGCTCTATCAAAAGAACGGTTCAAGTCTGTGAGTTGAATGCACATATCAAAAAGAAGTTTCTGAGAATGCTTCTATATATTTTTTGTGAAGATATCACATTTCTAACGAAGGTCTCAAAGCGGTCCAAATATGCACTTGCAAATTCTTCAAAAAGAGTGTTTCAAAACATCTCAATGAAAAGAAATGTTCAGATCCGTGTCTTGAATGCACACATCACAAAGAAGTTTGTGAGAATGGTTCTGTCTAGTTTTCATGTGAAGATACTTCGTTTTTCACTATAGGACCCAAAGGGCTCCAAATGTCCAGTTGCAGATCCTACAAAGAGAGTGTTTCAAAACTGCTCTATCAAAAGAAAAGTTCAACTCTGTGAGGTGAATGCACACATCAAAAGGAAGATTCTGAGAATGCTTCTGTCTAGTTTTTGTGTGAAGATATTTCCTTTTTCACCTTTTTCACTCCATTCCACTCGAGTTCATGCCATTCCATATCATTGCACTCGAGGCTACTTCATTCCATTCCATTCCAATCCATTCTTTTCGTGTCCATTCAATTCTAATGCATTCCATTCCATTCCATTCCATTCCATTCCATTCCATTCCATTCCATTCCATTTTACTTGAGTTGATTCCATTCCATTCTATTGCATTCCATTCCATTCCGTTCCATTCCATTCCTTTCCATTCCATTGCATTCCATGCCATACCACTCGAGATGATTCCATTCCAATCTATTGCATTCCATGCCATTCCTTTCCATTCCATTCCATTCCACTCCAGATACCATTCCATTCCTTTGCATTCCATTCCATTCCATTCCATGCCATTCCATTCCATTCCATTCGATTCCATTCCATTCCATTCCATTCCACTAGATATGATTCCATTCCATTCTATTGCTTTCGAAGCCACTTCATTCCATTCCATTCCATTCCAATCTCTTCGGGTCCATTCAATTCAAATGCATTCCATTCCACTCCATCCCATTCCATTCCAATCCATTCCATACCATTCCATTCGAGTTGATTCCATTTCATTCTACGGCATTCCATTCCATTCCGTTCCATTCCATTCCATTGCATTGCATTCCATTCCATTCCATTAAATTTCATTCCAATCGTTTTGATTCCATTCCATTCTATTGCATTCCATTCCATTCCATTCTTTTACATTCCATTCCATTCCATTCTTTTCCATTCCATTCCATTCCATTCCATTCCATTCCATTCCAATCGAGTTGATTCCATATCATTCTATTGCATTCCATTCCATTCCATTCCATTCTATTCCATTACGCTCGATTTGATTACGTTTCATTCTGTTGCATTCCATTCCATTTCATTCTATTCCACTCCATTCAACCCGAGTTGATTCCAATCCATTCTATTGCATTCGAGGCCACTTCTTTCCATTCCATTCCATTCCATTCCATTCCATTCCATTCTGCTCGAGTTTATTCCATTCCATTCTCTTGCATTATATTCCATTCCATTCCATTCCACTCGAGTTGATTCTATTCCATTCCATTCCATTTCATTCCATTCTACCCGAGTTGATTCCATTCCATTCTATTGCATTCGAGGCCACTTCATTCCATTCCATTCCATTCCATTCCATTCTTTTCGGAACAATACAATTCAAATGCTTTCCATTCCATTCCATTCCACTCGAGTTGATTCCATTCCATTCTATTGCATTCCATTCCATTCCATTCCATTCCATTCCATTCCATTCCATTCTTTTCCATTCCACTCGATTTGATACAAGTCAATTCTCCTGCATTCCATTCCATTCTATTTCATTCCATTCCATTTCATTCCATTCCATTCCACTCAAGAAGATTCCATTCCATTCTATTGCATTTGAGGCCACCTCATTCCATTCAATTCCATTCCATTCCAATCCATTCCTCTCTAATTGATTTCATTACATTCTTTTGCATTCCATTCCATTCCATTCCATTCCATTCGAGTTGATTCCATTCCATTCCATTCCACTCGTGTTCATTCCTTTCCGTTCTATTGCATTCGAGGCCACTTCATTCCATTCCATTCCATTCCATTCTATTGCATTCCATTCCATTCCACTCCATTCCATTCCATTCCATTCCATTCCACTCGAGTTGATTCTATTCCATTCTATGGCATTCCATTCCATTCCATTCAGTTCCTTTCCATTCCACTCTAGTTGAATCCATTTCATTCTATTGCATTCCATTCCATTCCATTCCATTTCATTCCATTCCACTCGAGTAGATTCCATTCCATTCCAATCCATTCCTCTCTAATTGATTTCATTCCATTCTATTGCATTCCATTCCATTCCATTCCATTCCATTCGAGTTGATTCCATTCCATTCCATTCCACTCGAGTTTATTCCTTTCCATTCTATTGCATTCGAGGCCACTTCATTCCATTCCATTCCATTCCATTCTATTGCATTCCATTCCATTCCATTCCATTCCATTCCATTCCATTCCATTCCACTCGAGTTGATTCTATTCCATTCAGTTCCTTTCCATTCCACTCTAGTTGAATCCATTCCATTCTATTGCATTCCATTCCATTCCATTCCATTCCATTCCATTCCATTCCATTCCATTCCATTCCACTCGAGTAGATTCCATTCCCTTCCATTGCATTCCATTCCATTCCATTAAATTCCATACATCTCAAGTTGATTCCATTACATTATATTGCATTATATTCCATTCCATTCCATTCCATTCCATTCCATTCAACTCCATTCCAACCGATTTGTGTCCATTCCACTACATTGCATTCGAGGCCACTTCTTTCCATTCCATTCCATTCCATTCAAATTTTTTCATGTCCATTCAATTCAAATGCATTTCATTCCATTCCATTCCATTGCATTCCAATCCATTCCATTCCACTCAAGTTGATTCCATTCCATTCCATACCAGTCGAGCTGATTCCTTTCCATTCTATTTCATTCGAGGCCCCTTCATTCCATTCCATTCCTTTCTGTTCTATTGCATTCCATTTCACTGCATTGCAATCCATTCCAATCCATTCCATTCCATTCCATTCCATTGCATTCCATTGCATTCCAGTCGAGTTGATTCCATTCTATTCCACTCCCTTCCAATGCATTCCATTCCATTCCATTCCATTCCACTCGAGTTGATACCTTTCCATTCTATTGCATTCCATTCCATTCCATTCCATTTCACTTCATTCCACTCGACATTGCAATCTATTGCATTCGAGACCAATTCATTCCATTCCATTCTCTTCGGGTCCATTCAATTCAAATTCAGACCATTAACTTCCATTCCATTCCATTCCATTCCATTCAACTCGAGTTGATTCTTTTCCATTCTATTCCATTCCATTCCATTCCTTTGCATTCCATTCCATTCAATTCCATTCCATTCCATTCCACTCGAGTTGATACCTTTCCATTCTATTGCATTCCATTCCATTCCATTCCATTCCATTACACTCAAGTTGATTCCATTCCATTCGATACCAGTCGAGCTTATTCCTTTCCATTCTATTGCATTCGAGGCCCCTTCATTCCATTCCATTCCTTTCTGTTCTATTGCGTTCCATTTCACTGCATTGCAATCCGTTCCATTCCATTCCATTCCATTGCATTGCATTCCATTGCATTCAAGTCGAGTTGATTCCATTCTATTCCACTCCCTTCCAATGCATTCCATTCCATTCCATTCCATTCCATTCCACTCGAGTTGATACCTTTCCTTTCTGTTGCATTCCATTCCATTCCATTCCACTCAAGTTGATTTCATTCCACTCCATACCAGTCGAGCTTATTCCTTTCCATTCTATTGCATTCGAGGCCCCTTCATTCCATTCCATTCCTTTCTGTTCTACCGCATTCCATTTCGCTGCATTGCAATCCATTCCATTCCATTCCATTGCATTCCATTGCATTCCAGTCGAGTTGATTCCATTCTATTCCACTCCCTTCCAATGCATTCCATTCTATTCCACTCCCTTCCAATGCATTCCATTCCATTCCATTCCATTCCACTCGAGTTGATACCTTTCCATTCTATTGCATTCCATTCCATTCCATTCCATTTCACTTCATTCCACTCGAGATGATTACATTGCAATCTATTGCATTCGAGACCAATTCATTCCATTCCATTCCCTTCCATTCTTTTCAGGTCCATTCAATTCAAATTCAGACCATTAACTTCCATTCGATTCCATTCCATTCAACTCGAGTTGAGTCTTTTCCATTCTATTGCATTCCATTCCATTCCATTCCATTCCTTTGCATTCCATTCCATTCCATTCCATTCCATTCCATTCCATTCCACTCGAGTTGATTCCATTCCATTCTATTGCATTCCATTCCATTCCATTGCATTCCATTCCATTCCATTTCATTCCTTTCCTCTAGAGATGATTCCATTCCATTCTATTGCTTTCCAAGCCACTTATTTCCATTCCATTCCATTCCAATCTCTTCGGGTCCATTCAATTAAAATGCATTCCATTCCATTCCATTCCATTCCATTCCATTCGAGTTGATTCCATTTCATTCTAATGCATTCCATTCCATTCCATTCCATTCCATTCCAATACATTCCATTCCATTCCACTCGAGTTGATTCCATTCCATTCTATTGCATTCCATTCCATTCCATTGCATTCCATTCCACTCGAGTTGATACCTTTCCATTCTATTCCATTCCATTCCATTCCATTCCATTCCATTCCATTCCATTCCACTAGAGATGATTCCATTCCATTCTATTTATTTCGAAGCCACTTCATGCCATTCCATTCCATCTAATCTCTTCAGGTCCATTCCATTCAAATGCATTCCATTCCATCCGATTCCATTCTATTCCATTCCATTCCATTCCATTCCAATCGAGTTGATTCCATTCCATTCCATTGCATTCCATTCCATTCCATTCCACTTGATTTGATTCCATTCCATTCTGTTGCATTCCATTCCATTTCATTCTATTCCATTCCATTCAACACGAGTTGATTCCAATCCATTCTATTGCATTTGAAGCCACTTCTTTCCATTCCATTCCATTGCATTCCATTCCAATACATTTCACTTGAGTTGATTCCATTCCATTCTATTGCATTCCATTCCATTCCATTCCATTCCATTCCATTCCATTCCATTCCATTCCATTCCATTCCTTTACACTCCATTTGATTCTATTCCATTCTGTTGCATTCCATTCCATTTCATTCTATTCTACTCCATTTAACCCGAGTTGATTCCCATCCATTCTATTGCATTCCAGGCCACTTCTTTCCGTGCCATTCCATTCCATTCCATTCCATTCCATTCCGTTATTTTCAGGTCCATTCAATTCGAATGCATTCCATTCCATTCCATTCCGTTACATTCCTTTCCATTCCACTCGAGTGTATTCCGTTCCATTCTATTGCATTCTATTCCATTCCATTCCATTCCACTCGAGTTGATTCCATTCCATTCCATTCCATTTCATTCCGTTCAACCCGAGTTGATTACATTCCATGCTATTGCATTCCATTCCACTCCATTCCATTCCATTCCACTCGAGTTGATTCCTTTCCATTTCACTCCATTCCATTCCATTCCACTCGAGTTGATTCCTTTCCATTCTATTGCATTCGAGGCCACTTCGTTCCATTCCATTCCATTCCTTTCTATTGCATTCCCTTCCATTCAATTCCATTCCATTCCATTGCATTCGAGTTGATTCTATTCCATTCCATTCCATTCCATTGCTATCCTTCCATTCCACTCGGGTTGAATCCATTCCATTCTATTGCATTCCCTTCCATTCCACTCCATTCCATTACAATCCACTCGAGTTTATTCCATTCCATTCTATTGCATTCCATTCCATTCCATTCTATGCCTCTCGTATTGTTTCCATTCCATTCTATTCAATTTCATTCCATTCCATTCCATTATATTCCATTCCATTCCATTCCATTATATTCCATTCCATTCCATTCCACTCAAGTTGATTCCATTCCATTCTATTGCATTCCATTCCATTCCATTCCATTCCATTCCACTGGAGTTTTTTATTCCATTCCATTCCATTCCATTCCATTTGATTCCATTCCATTCTATTGAATTATATTCCATTCCATTCCATTCCATTCTGTTCCATTCCATTCCACTCGAGTTGATGGCATTCCATTCCATTCCATTCCATTTCATTCCATTCAATCCGAGTTGATTACATTCCATTCTATTCCATTTGAGGTCACTTCATTCCATTCCATTCCATTCCATTCCATTCCATTCCATTCCATTCCATTCCAATCCTTTCTGGTCAATTCAATTCAAATGCGTTCCATTCCATTCTATTCCACTCTAATTGATTTCATTCCATTCAATTGCATTCCATTCCATTCCATTCCATTCCATTCCTTTCCATTCCATTCAATTCCATTCCACCCGAGTTGATTCCATTCCATTCTATTGCATTCCATTCCATTCCATTCCATTCCGCTCGATTTGATTCCATTCTATTCTGTAACATTCCATTCCATTTCATTCTATTCCACTCCATTCAACCCGAGTTGATTCCAATCGATTCTATTGCATTCAATGCCACTTCTTTCCATTCCATCCAATTCCATTCCATTCCATTCCATTCCATTCCATTCCATTCCATTCTATTCCATTCCATTCCATTCCATTATTTTCGGGTCCATTCAATTCAAATGCATTCCATTCCATTCCATTCCGTTCCATTCGGTTCCATTCCATTCCGTTCCATTCCATTCCATTGCATTGCATTGCATTCCATTCCATTCCACACGAGTTTATTCCATTCCATTCTATTGCATTCTGTTCCATTCCATTCCACTCCACTCTTGTTGATTTCATTCCATTCCATTCCATTTCATTCCATTCAACGCTAGTTGATTCCATTCCATTCTATTGCATTCGAGGCCACTTGATTCCATTCCATTCCATTCCATTGCATTCCATTCCACTGCATTCTTTTCTGCTCAATTCAATTCGAATGCTTTCCATTCCATTCCATTCCACTCGAGTTGATTCCATTCCATGCTATTGCATTCCATTCCATTCCATTCCATTCCATTCCAGTCCATTCCTTTCTCTCCACTCGAGTTGATACCTCTGAATTCTACTGCATTCCATTCCATTCCATTCCGTTCATTGCAGTTGATTCCATTCCATTCCATTCCATGCCATTCCATTCCATTCCATTCAAGTTGATTCCATTCCATTCCATTCTATTGCATTCCATTCCATTCCTTTCCATTCCATTCCACTCGAGTTGATTCCATTCCATTCTATAGCATTGCATTCCGTTCCATTCCATTCCATTCCATTCCATACCAATCCATTCCGTTCCATACCACTCGGGTTCATTCCATTCCATTCCATTGCATTCCATTCCATTCCTTTCCATTCCATTCCACTCGAGTTGATTCCATTCCATTCTATAGCATTCCATTCCATTCCATTCCATTCCATTCCATTCCATTGCATTCCATTCCACTCGTGTGGATTACAATCCATTCTATTGTATTCAAGGCCAATTCATTCCATTCCATTCCATTCCATTCCATTCCATTATTTATGGATCCTTTCAATATACATGCATTCTATTCCATTCCATTCCATTGCATTCCATTCCTTTCCACTCGAGTTGATTCCATTCCTATCTATTGCATTCAATTCCAGTCCATTGCATTGCATTGCATTCCAGTCCATTCCATTGCATTCCATTCCATTCCATTCCATTCCAATCCATTCCTTTCCATTCCATTCCATTTCATTCCATTCCATTCCATTCCACTCGAGTTTGTTCCATTCCATTCTATTCCATTCCATTCCATTCCATTCCACTCGATTTGATTCCATTCAATTCTATTGAATTCGAGGCCACTTCATGCCATTCCATTCCATTCTATTGCATTCCATTCCATTCCATTCCATTACTTTCCATTGTATTCCACTCGAGTTGATTCTATTCCATTCTATTGCATTGAAGGCCACTTCATTCCACTCCATTCCATTCCATTCCTTTCCATTCCATCCAATTCCATTCCATTCCATCCCAATCCATTCCATCCCATTCCATTCCATTCCATTCCAATCGAGTTGTTTACATTCTATTCAATTGCAATCCATTCCATTCAATTCCACTCCATTCCATTAATTACATTATATTAGATTCCATTCCATTCGATTCCACTCGAGTTGATTCCATTCCATTCTATTGCTTTCCATTCCATTCCATTCCATTCCATTCAACTCCTGTTGATTCCATTCCATTCTATTGCATTCCATTAATTTCCATTCCATTCCATTCCATTCCACTCTATTGCATTCCATTACATTCCATTCCATTCTATTGCATTCCATTCCATTCCATTCCATTCCACTCCGGTTGATTCCATTCCATTCCATTCCATTGCTTTCCACTCGAGTTGATTCCATTCCTTTCTATTGCATTCAATTCCAGTCCATTCCATTGCATTCCATTCCAGTCCATTCCATTGCATTCCATTCCATTCCATTCCATTCCATTCCATTCCTTTCCATTCCATTGCATGTCATTCCATTCCATTCCATTCCACTCGAGTTGGTTCCATTCCATTCTATTCCATTCCAATCCATTCCATTCCATTCCACTCGTTTTGATTCCATTCAATTCTATTGAATTCGAGGCCAGTTCATGTCATTCCATTCCGTTCCATTCTATTTCATTCCATTCCATTCCATTCCATTACTTTCCGTTGTATTCCACTCGAGTTGATTCCATTCCATTCTATTGCATTCAAGGCCACTTCATTCCATTCCATTCCATTCCATTCCATTCCAATCGAGTTGATTACATTCCATTCAATTGCATTCCAGTCCATTCCATTCCACTCCATTCCATTAATTACATTATATTACATTCCATTCAATTCGATTCCACCAGAGTTGATTCCATTCCATTCTCTTGCACTCAATTCTATTCCTTTACATTACATTTCATTCCATTTCTCTCGAGTTTATTCCATTCCATTCTATTACATTCAATTCCATTCCAAAACATTCCATTCCATTCCACTCCATTCCATTCCACTCGAGTGGATTCCATTCCATTCCATTCCATTCCATTCCATTCCATTCCCTTCCATTCCATTCCATTCCATTCCTTTCCACTCGAGTTGTTTCCATTCCATTCTATTGCATTCGAGGCCACTTCATACCATTCCATTCCTTTCCATTCCATTCTTTTCAAGTCCATTCAATGCAAATACATTCGATTCCCTTCCATTCTATTCCATTCCATTCCATTCCTTCCAATTCGACTCGAGTTTATTCCATTCTATTCCATTGTATTGCATTCCATTTTATTCCATTCCATTATATTCCATTCCACTCGAGTTGATTCCATTCCACTCTATTGCATTCCATTCCATTCCATTCGAGTTGATTCCATTCCATTCTCTTGCATTCCATTCCATTCCATTCCATTCCATTCCATTCCATTCCATTTCATTCGAGTTGATTACAGTCCATTCTGTTGCATTCCATTCCATTCCATTCCACTCTAGTTGATTCCATTCCATTCTACTGTATTCGAGGACACTTCATTCCATTCCATTCTTTCCCATTCCATACTTTTTGGATACATTCAATTCAAATGCCTTCCATTCGATTCCATTCCATTCTATTCCATTCCACTCGAGTTGATTCCATTCCATTCTATTCCATTCCATT
>NT_187420.1:74287-87539 GCF_000001405.40 Homo sapiens | reverse complement strand
TCCATTCCATTCCATTCCATTATTTATGGATCCTTTCAATATACATGCATTCTATTCCATTCCATTCCATTGCATTCCATTCCTTTCCACTCGAGTTGATTCCATTCCTATCTATTGCATTCAATTCCAGTCCATTGCATTGCATTGCATTCCAGTCCATTCCATTGCATTCCATTCCATTCCATTCCATTCCAATCCATTCCTTTCCATTCCATTCCATTTCATTCCATTCCATTCCATTCCACTCGAGTTTGTTCCATTCCATTCTATTCCATTCCATTCCATTCCATTCCACTCGATTTGATTCCATTCAATTCTATTGAATTCGAGGCCACTTCATGCCATTCCATTCCATTCTATTGCATTCCATTCCATTCCATTCCATTACTTTCCATTGTATTCCACTCGAGTTGATTCTATTCCATTCTATTGCATTGAAGGCCACTTCATTCCACTCCATTCCATTCCATTCCTTTCCATTCCATTCCATTCCATCCAATTCCATTCCATTCCATCCCAATCCATTCCATCCCATTCCATTCCATTCCATTCCAATCGAGTTGTTTACATTCTATTCAATTGCAATCCATTCCATTCAATTCCACTCCATTCCATTAATTACATTATATTAGATTCCATTCCATTCGATTCCACTCGAGTTGATTCCATTCCATTCTATTGCTTTCCATTCCATTCCATTCCATTCCATTCAACTCCTGTTGATTCCATTCCATTCTATTGCATTCCATTAATTTCCATTCCATTCCATTCCATTCCACTCTATTGCATTCCATTACATTACATTCCATTCTATTGCATTCCATTCCATTCCATTCCATTCCACTCCGGTTGATTCCATTCCATTCCATTCCATTGCTTTCCACTCGAGTTGATTCCATTCCTTTCTATTGCATTCAATTCCAGTCCATTCCATTGCATTCCATTCCAGTCCATTCCATTGCATTCCATTCCATTCCATTCCATTCCATTCCATTCCTTTCCATTCCATTGCATGTCATTCCATTCCATTCCATTCCACTCGAGTTGGTTCCATTCCATTCTATTCCATTCCAATCCATTCCATTCCATTCCACTCGTTTGATTCCATTCAATTCTATTGAATTCGAGGCCAGTTCATGTCATTCCATTCCGTTCCATTCTATTTCATTCCGTTCCATTCCATTCCATTACTTCCGTTGTATTCCACTCGAGTTGATTCCATTCCATTCTATTGCATTCAAGGCCACTTCATTCCATTCCATTCCATTCCATTCCATTCCAATCGAGTTGATTACATTCCATTCAATTGCATTCCAGTCCATTCCATTCCACTCCATTCCATTAATTACATTATATTACATTCCATTCAATTCGATTCCACCAGAGTTGATTCCATTCCATTCTCTTGCACTCAATTCTATTCCTTTACATTACATTTCATTCCATTTCTCTCGAGTTTATTCCATTCCATTCTATTACATTCAATTCCATTCCAAAACATTCCATTCCATTCCACTCCATTCCATTCCACTCGAGTGGATTCCATTCCATTCCATTCCATTCCATTCCATTCCATTCCATTCCATTCCATTCCATTCCCTTCCATTCCATTCCATTCCATTCCTTTCCACTCGAGTTGTTTCCATTCCATTCTATTGCATTCGAGGCCACTTCATACCATTCCATTCCTTTCCATTCCATTCTTTTCAAGTCCATTCAATGCAAATACATTCGATTCCCTTCCATTCTATTCCATTCCATTCCATTCCTTCCAATTCGACTCGAGTTTATTCCATTCTATTCCATTGTATTGCATTCCATTTTATTCCATTCCATTATATTCCATTCCACTCGAGTTGATTCCATTCCACTCTATTGCATTCCATTCCATTCCATTCGAGTTGATTCCATTCCATTCTGTTGCATTCCATTGCATACCTTTCCATTCCATTCCATTCCATCTCTAGTTGATGCCATTCCATTCTATTGCATTCCATTCAATTCCTTTCAATTCCATTCCACTCCATTCCATTCGAGTTTAATCCATTCCATTCTATTGCATTCCATTAAATTCCATTCCATTCCATTCCACTCGAGTTAATTCCATTCCATTCTATTGCATTCCATTCCATTCCATTGCATTCCATTTCATTCCATTGCATTCCAATCCATTCCCTTCCATTACATTCTATTCCCTTCCATTCGTGTTGATTCCATTCCATTGTATCGCATTCCATTCCATTCCATTCCGTTGTATTCCATTCCATTCCATTCCGTTACATTCCATTCCATTCCACTCGGGTTGATTCTATTGCATTCGAGGCCACTTCATTCCATTCCATTCTATAGCATTCCATTCCATTCCATTCCATTCCAATCCATTCCATTCCATTCCAATCCATTCCATTCCATTGCATTCCATTCTATTCTGTTCTATTCCACTCGAATTGATTCCATTCTGTTCTATTGCATTCCTTTCCTTTCCATTCCATTCCATTCCATTCCATTCCATTCCATTCCATTCCTTAACATTCCATTCCATTGAATTCCTTTCCATTCCATTCCATTCCATTCCATTCCACTCCATTAAATTCCACTCTATTTGATTCCATTCCATTCTATTGCATTCCGTTCCATTCCTTTCCATTCCATTCCATGCCATGCCATTCTATTGCATTAGAGGCCACTTCATTCCATTCCATTCCATAGCATTCTATTGCATTCCATTCTTTTCCATTCCATCCCATTCCATTGCACTGCATTCTATTCCATGCCACTCGTGTTGATTCCATTTCATTGCATTCCATTCATTCCATTTCATTCCATTCCATTACATTCCCTTCCATTTCATTCCATTCCATTCCATTCCATTCCCTTCCATTCCATTCCCTTCCATTCCATTCCATTCCATTCCCTTCCATTCCTTTCCATTCCATTCCGTTCCCTTCCATTCCATTCCATTCCACTGGGTTTGATTCCATTCCATTCTATTGCGTTCTAGGCCTCTTCATTCCCATCCGTTCCGTTCCTTTCTTTTACCTACCTTTCCATTCCTTTGCATTCATTCCAGTTCATTCCATTCCATACCGTACAATTACATTCAATCCCTTTCCATTCCATTCAACTGCATTCCATTCAACTGCATTCCATTCCATTCCATGTCATTTGAATGCATTCCATTCCAGTGCATTCCATTCGAGTCCATTCCATTCCACTCCATTCCACTCCACTCCATAAATTTCAACTCAATTCTACTCCATTCCATTCCATTCCATTCCATTCCATTCCACTCAACTACACTGCACTCCACTCCATTCAATTCCATTCCTTCCCCTTCCATTCCTTTCCACTCCTTTTCTCTTCACCCCAATTCAATATTTTCAATTCCTTTCCACCCCATTGCATTCCACTCCATTGCACTCCACTTCAATGCATTGTGTTCCATTGCATGCGATGCCTTTTGATTCCATTCAATTCAATTCAATGCCATTCCATTCCATTCCATTCCATTCTAATCCATTCCATTGAATTCCTTTCCATTTGATTCCATTCCATTCGACTGCACTCCATTCTATTCCTTTCCATTCCATTATATTCCATTCAATTCCTTTTCATTCGATTCCATTCGATTCCACTCCATTTCATTAGAATCCATTCCATTGAATTCCATTACATTATAATCCATTCCATTCCATTCCATTCCATTCAATTGCTTTCCATTGCATTCCATTGCATTCCATTTCATTCCATACCTTTTGAATCCATTCCATTGGATTCCATTCCATTGGAGTTCATTCCATTCCAGTCTTTACCATTCGAGTTATTTCTATTCCATTCGATTCCATTCCACTCGATTCCATTCCACTCGATTCCATACCATTCGATTACATTCCATTCAATGGCAGTGCATTTCATTGCATTCCAATCGTGTCCTTTCCATTCCAGTCCATTCCATTCGAGTCCACTTCCCTCCCCCTCACCACACTCCATTCGATTTCAATCGATGCCATTCTATTCCATTCCATTTGATTCCATTCCATTCAAGTCCATTCCATTCCATTCCATTGCATTTCTCGCCACTGAACTCCACTCCACTCCATTCCAATACACTCCACTCCATCCTCTCCACTCCACTCCAGTCCACTCCATTCCATTCTATTTCACTCGCCTCCACAACAATCCATTCCATTCCATTGAATTCCACTCCATTCCACTCCTCTGCACTCCACTCCATTACTTTCGATTCCATTGCATTTCCCTCAACTCAACTCCGCTCCACTACGTTCATTTCCATTCCTTCCCTTTCCATTCCATTGCACTCCAATCCACTCCACTCCAATCCTTTCGAATACATTCCACCCATTCCATTCTACTTCATTCCACTTCACTCCACTCCACTTCACCACATTCCATTTGATTCCATTAAATTATATTTGATGCAGTTCGATTCCATTCCGTTTGATTTCATTCCATTCGATTCCATTCCATTCGAGTCCATTCCTTTCGAATCCTTTCCATTCCATTCCGTTGCATTCCATTCCATTTCATTCCATTTGACACCACCTCACTCCATTCCACACCACTCTGTTCAATTACTTTCTTTCATTTCCAGTACATTCCACTCCATTCCACTCCACTCCACTCCATTCTATTCCATTACACCCTATTGCATTCCACTTCATTCCACTGCACTCCTCTTTACCACATTCCATTCGAATCCGTTCGATGCCTTTCGTTTCCATTCCATTTCACTCCACTCCGTTCGATTTCATTCCATTCGAGTCCATTCTATTCGAATCCATTCCATTCAATTCCTCTACATTTGATTCCATTCCATTCCACTCCATTCCATTCCATTGCATTCCATTGCATTCCATTCCATTCCATTCCACTCCATTCCATTCCATTGCATTCCATTCCATTCCACTCCACTCCATTCCATTAAATTCCATTCCATTCTATCCCACTCCACTCTAGTCCACTAAACTCCAATCCATTCCATTCCACAACACTCCATTCCAGTCCACTCCACTCCACTAATCTCCATTCCATTCCATTCCACTCCACTCCATTCCATTCCATTCCATTGCATTTCACTCCAGTGTACTCCACTCCATTTCATTCCATTCCATTCCTTTCCATTGCAATCGGTTCCATTCCATTTCATTTCCAATCCATTCCATTCCATTCTGTTCCCTACCATTCGATTCCATTCCATTCCATTCGATTCCTTTGCATTCCATTCCATTCCATTCCATTCCACTCCACTCAAATCCACTCCACTCCATTCCTCTCCATTCCATTCCACTCCTCTCCATTCCACTCCACTCCCCTCCTCCCAGTTCCACTCCATTCCAATCGACTCCACTCCTCACCATTGCACATCAGTCCATTCCAATCCATTCCATTCATTTGCATTCCACTCCAGTCCAATTTTCTCCACTCCACTCCTCTCCACTCCATTCCATTCCACTCTACTCCAATCCGTTCAATTCTATTACTTCCCATTGCATTCCATTTCTCTCGATTCCACTCCACTCCACTATTATACATTCAATTACAATCCAACACATTCCATTCCACTCCATTTCAATCCTCTCCATTCCACTTCACCGCATTCCATTCGATTCTATTTGATGCCAATCGATTCCTTTCCATTCAGTTCCATTTCTTTTGGTTCCATTCCATTTGACTCCACTCCATTCGATTCCATTCCACTCCATTCCATTCGATTCCATTCCAATAGATTGCATTCCATTTGATTCCATTCTTTTCTAGTATATTCCGTTCCAGTCCTTTCCATTCCAGTCCATTATATTCGGGTCCACTCCATTCCATTCCAGTCCACTCCATTCCACTTCACTCCATTCCACTCCATTCAATTCCTTCCACCCCATTCCATTCCACTCCATTCCACTCCACTCCAACGTACTTCACCCCATTCTATTCGATGCCATTTGATTCCATTCGATTCCATTCGATGCCATTCGATTTCATTCCATTTGATTCCATTACATTTGATTCCAATCCATTCGACTCCATTCCATTTGATAACTTTCGATTAGATTCCATACCATTCGAGTCCATTCCATTCCATTCCTTTCCATTCCATTCCAATCCATTCCATTGCATTCCGTTTTGTTAGAATCCATTCCATTCGATTCTATTCCATTCCAGTCCATTCCGTTCGTGTCCATTCCATTCCATTCCATTCCATTCCATTCCATTGCATTCGATTCCATTGCATTCAATTCCATTCCATTCAATTGCATTCCATTCGATAGCATTCCGTTCAATTCCATTCCATTTGATTTGATTCCAATCCATTCTATTCCAATTCGTTCCGTTCCATTCCATTCCGTTCCATTCCATTCGAGTCCATTCCATTCAATTCCATTCCTTCCGTTTCCATTCCATTACATTTGATTCTATGGTATTCCATTCCTTTCCATTCCATTCCATTCCATTCCATTCGTGTGCATTCCATTCCTGTCCATTCAATTCAATTCCATTCCATTCCATTCCATTCTTGTGCATTCCATTCCTGTCGATTCAATTCAATTCCATTCCATTCCACTGCATTCCACACCATTCCACACCATTCCATTACATTCGACTCCATTCCACTCCACTCTACTCCACTCGATTCAATTCCATTCCACCTCATTCCATTCCTCTGCATTCCACTGCACTCCACTTCACTGCATTCCATTCGATATCACTTGATTCTATTCGATTCCGTTTGATGCCATTCGATTCCATTCCATTCTTTTCCATTCCAATCAACTCCATTACGTTTGATTCCATTCCTTTCGATTCCATTCCATTCGTGTCCATGCCATTCCATTCCTTTCCATTCCATTCCATTCCATTCCATTTCATTCCGTTCGATTCCATTCCCTTGTATTCCATTGCTTTCCAGTCCATTCTATTCGAGTCCATTCCATTCCATTCAATTTCATTACTTTCAATTCCATTCCGTTAGTTTCAATTCCATCTGAATCCATTCCATTCCGTTCCTATCCACTCCAATCCATTCCATTCCATTCCAGTCCACGTCATTCAATTCCACTCAATTCCACTCCATTTCATTCCATTCCGTTACATTCCATTCCACTCCACTCCACTGCACTCCACTGCATTCAATTCCGTTACTAACAATTCCATTCGATTCCACTTCATTCCACTACACTCCACTCCATTCAATTCCTTTCCACATCACTCGACTCCACACCGTTCCACTGCCATCCATTCCCCTTCACTGCACTCCATTCGATTCCATTCATTGCCATTCGATTCCTTTCCATTCGATAGCATTCCATTCGTGTCCATTCCATTCCATTACATTACATTTCATTGCATTGCACTCTACTTCACTCCACTCCACACCACTCCAATCCATTCCATTCCATTCCATTCCTTTCAACTCCCCTCCATTCCATTCAATTCCACTCCACTCCACTACAATCCACCTCACTCTATTCCACTACCTTCTATTATATTACCCTCCACGCCACTCTACTCCATTCCATTCCAGTGCATTCCACTCAGGTCCACTCCACTCCACTCCATTCAAATCCATTCTTTCTCCTTCCATTCCATTCCACCCCATTCCATTCCACTCTGTTCCATTCCTTTCAATTCCATTCCACCCCACTGAATTCCACTCCATTCCACTCCACTCCACTCCACTTCACTGCATTGTTTTCGATTCCATTCAATGCCATTCGTTTCCATTCAATTCCATGCGATGCCATAAATTTCTATTCCTTTCCATTCGAATCCATTCCATTTGATTCCATTCCATTCTTTTCCATTCCATTCGAGTCCACTCCATTCTATTCTTTTCCATTCCATTGCTTTCCTTTCTATTCCATTATTTTCAATTCCATTCCCTTCCATTCCATTCCATTGGAATCCATTCCATTCGATTCCATTCCATTCCAGTCCATTCCATTCGATTCCATTCCATTCCATTCGAATCCATTGCACTCGATTCCTTTCCATTCGATTACATTCCATTCAATTGCTTTGCATTTGATTGCATTTCATTCGTGTCCATTACTTTCCAGTCCAATCCTTTCAAGTCCATTTCATTCCAGTCTTTTCCATTTGAATCCATTCCATTCCAGTCCATTCCATTACAGTCTATTCCTTTCGAGACCATTCCATTCCATTCCAATCGATTCCATTTCATTTTTGTCTATTCCATCTGAGTCCATTCCATTGCCTTCCATTCCATTCTGTTCTACTCCACTCCACTCCATTCAATTCCATTCCAGTCCATTCCATTCCATTCCACTGAATTCAACTCCATTCCATTCTATTCCATTCCATTCCATTGCCTTCCTTTACACTCCACTTTACTCCACTCCACACTACTCTGTTCAATTCCATTCCTTCCCTTTCCTTTCCATTCCAATACATTACACTCCACTCCATTGAGTTCTGTTACACCCCATTTCATTCCATTGCATTCCACTCCACTTCACTTCACCGCATTGCATTCGAATCCATTTGATGCCATTCGATTCCATTCCACTCGATTGCATTCCATTCAAATCCATTCCAATTGACTCCATTCCATACGATTCCATTCCATTCGAGTACATTCTATTCGTGTCAATTCCTTTCCTGTCCATTCCTTTGAATTCCATTCTATTCCATTCCATTCCATTCCGTTCCACTCCACTCCACTCCATTCCATTCCATTTGATTCTATCCCACTCCACTCCAATCCACTCCACAGCACTCCATTCCATTCCACTCCACTCCATTCCAGTCCACTCCACTCCACTCAACTCCGGTCCATTCCACTATACTCCACTCCACTCCAATCCACTCCACTCCATTGCACTCCATTACATTGCATTCAGTTACATTCCATTCCGTTCAATTCCACTCCTTTACATTGCATTCAGTTACATTCCATTCTGTTCAATTCCACTCCCTTCCATTCCATTCCAATCATTCCATTCCATTATAATCCTTTCGATTGATTCCACTCAATTCTATTCCATTGCATTCCATTCCATTCCATTCCACTCCATTCCACTCCACTCCAACCCACACTACTCCATTGCATTCCATTCCATTGCATTCCCCTCCATTCCACTCCACTCCACTCCTCCCTGTTCCACTCCATTACACTCCACTCACTCCACTCCACTCCACATCACTCCATTCCTTTACATTCAATTGCATTCCACACCACTCCACTTCACTCCACTCCACTCCACTCCATTCCTTTCCATTCCAGTTCATTCCACTCATTGCATTCCATTCCATTCCATTCCACTTCATTCCACTCATTGCATTCCATTCCATTCCATTCCACCCAACTCCACTTCATTCCAGTTTGATCAATTCTCTTCTTTCCCATTCCATTCCATTCCATTCTATTCCATTGCATTCTATGGCAATCCACTCCATTCCACTCCACTCGATTCCACTCCACTCCATTCCTTTCCTTTCCATTGCATTACACTCCACTGCACTCCACTCCATTCAATTCCAGTCCTTCCCATTTCGTTCCATTCAACTCCATTCCACTGCACCCCACTCCACCCCTTTCAATTCCATTCCACCCCATTCCATTCCAGTCCATTCCATTCCTCTCCACTCCATTTAACCACATACCATTAGATTTCTTTTGATGCCATTTTATTCCATTCTGTTCGATTCCATTGCTTTTGATTCCATTCCATTCTACTCCATTTTATTTGATTCAATTCCATTATATTCCATTCTGTTCAATTCCATTCCTTTGAGTCTATTCTCTTACATTCCATTCTGTTTGATTCCATTCCATTCCATTCCATTCCATTCCGATGGATTCCATTCCATTCAATTCCATTCTGTTCAATTCCATTGCATTCCCTTGCATTCCATTCCATTCGATTCCATTTGATTCGATTCTGTTCCATTCGATTCCATTCCATTTGAGTCCATTCCATTGCAATGCATTCCATTCGAGTCCATTCCTTTCCAGTCCTCTCCACTCCAGTCCATTCCATTCGATTATATTCCATTCGATTCGTTTCCATACTATTGCTTACCATTCGATTTTATTCCAATCGATTCCATTCCTTTCAATTCCATTCCTCTCGAGTCCATTCCTTTTGAGTCCGTTCCATTCGATTCCATTCCATACTATTGCTTACCATTCGATTTTATTCCAATCGATTCCATTCCTTTCAATTCCATTCCTCTCGAGTCCATTCCTTTTGAGTCCATTCCATTCGATTCCATTCCATTTGAGTCCCTTCCATTCTAGCCCATTACATTCGATTCCATTCTGTTACAGTCTACTCCATACGAGTCCATTCCTTTCCATTATTTCCATTCCATTCCATTCCATTCCATACCATTCAATGCCATTCCTTTCGATTCTATTCCAATCGAGTCCCTTCCATTTGACTCCATTCCACTTGAGTCCATTGCATTCCATTCCACTCCAATCCACTCCACTCCATTCCATTCCTCTCCACTCCATTCCATTCCATTCTATTACACTCCACTTCACTACCCTTCACAGCATTCCATTCAATTCATTCAGTGCAATTTGATTCTATTCCATTCGATTCTATTCCAATCGATTCCATTCTATTCCATTCCTGTCCATTCGATTCCATTCCATTCAATTCCGTTTTGTTCCATTCTACTACATTCGAGTCAATTCCATTCCATTCCAATCCATTCTATTCCATTCCTTTTAATTCCATTTCATTCGATTCCATTCTCTTTGGGTCCATGCCATTCCATTCCATTCCATTCCATTCCATTCCATTCGAGTCCATTCCATTCCCGTCCATTCCTTTACAGTCTATTCCATTCTGCTTCATTCCACTCCATTCCACACCATTCCACTCCATTCCATTCCCTTCCACTCCATTCAACTACACCCCATTCCACTTCATTCAATTCCATTCCACCGCATTCCATTCCAATCCATTCCACCCCACTCTAATTCCCCGCATTCCATTTGATGCCTTTTGATTTCATTCGATTCCATTCTATGACAATGGATTCCATTCCACTTGATTGCATTCCATTCGATTCCATTCTATTAGACTCCTTCCTTTCAATACTATTCCATTCGAGTCCATACCATTCGAGTCCATTCCATTGGAGTCCATTCCTTTCCATTCCATTGCATTTAATTCTATTCCATTGTGTTCAATTCCATTTTCTTCAATTCCATTCCGTTCGATTGCATTTCGTTCCATTCCATTTCATTTCATTCCATTCCATTCCATTCCATTCCTTTCGATTCCATTCCATTCCATTTTATTCCATCCCATCCCATTAAAGTCCATTCCATTCGAGTGCATTCCATTCCAGTCCATTCCATTCGACTCCATTCCATTCCAATGCATTTCACTCAATTCCACTCCATTACATTTCATTCGATTCCATTCCACTCCATTCCACTCCAATCAAATCAATTCCATTCCATTCCACTCCATCCCACTCCACTCCAATTCACTGCATTGCATTTGATACCGTTTGATTCCATTCGATTCCATTCAATGCCATTTGATTCCATTCCGTTAGATTCCATTCCATTCGACTCCATTACGTTTGATTGCATTCCTTTCATTTCCGTTCCATTCGATTCCATGCCATTCCATACCTTTCCATTCCATTCCATTCCATTTCATTCCGTTCGGTTTGATTGTATTCCATTCTATTCCATTGTGTTCCAGTCTACTCCATTTTATTCTATCCCATTCCAGTCCACTCGATTCAATTCCATTCTATTCGATTCCATTCCTTTCCATTGCATTCCTTTTGATTCCATTCAACTCAATTCCATTCCCTTCGAGTCCATTCCATTCGAGTCCAATAAATTCAAATCCATTCTATTCCATTCCATTCCATTCGTTATCACTCCATTCCATTCCATTCCATTCCATTTCGTGTGATTCCATTCCATTCGGTTCCCTTCCATTTGAGTCCGTTCCACTCGAGTCCATTCCATTCCATTCCTCTCTACTCCACTCCTTTCCATTTCTCTCTACTCCATTCTACTCCATTCCATTCCAATCCATTCCATTCCATTCCATTCCATTGTCTTCAATTCCATTGCATTCCATTCCAATCCCCTCCGCTCCAGTCCAATCCGTTCTATTCCATTCCTTCCAATTCCATTACATTACACTCCATTCCACTCCGCTCCACTCCATTCAATTCCATTCCACTCCTTTCCACTCCAATCCAATCTGCTTCACCGTATTCCATTCAATTTCATTCAATTCCATTCCATTCAATTTCATTCCATTTGATCTCATTCCATTCGAGTCATTCCATTTGCGTCCATTCCATTTTATTCCATTCTATTCTATTCCTCTTCATTCTATTCCATTCCATTGCATTTGATTCAATTCCATTTGAATCCATTCAATTTAATTCGATTTCATTCCATTCCATTCTATTGCATTCCAATCCATTGCATTCAATTCCATTCTATCTGATTCCATTCCATTCGAGTCCATTCAAGTCGAGTACATTCCCTTTCAGTCCATTCCATTCGAATCCATTCCATTCCAGTCCATTCCATTCGAGTCCATTCTATTCCATACTATTCCATTCCATTTCATTACATTCTATTCCATTCCATTCTAGTCCATTCCATTAGAGTCCTTTCGAATCGAGTCCATTCCACTCGAGTCCATTCCATTCGCGTCCATTCTACACGAGTCCATTCCATTCGAGTTTATTCCACTCGAGTCCATTCGATTCCACTCCATTCCTTTCCATTCCCTTACATTCCACTCCACTCCAATCCATTCCCTTCCCCTCCACTCCTTTCCCTTCCATTGCATTCCATTCCACTCCAATCCTCTGCACTCAGTTCAGTTCCATTTTTTCCCATTCCATTTCTTTCCACTGGCTTTCACTCCACTCCACTCCATTCAATTCCATTCAACCCCATTCCATTCCACTCCATTCCAATCAACTCCAATCCAGTTCACTGCATTGTATTCGATTACATTTGATGCCATTCGATTCCATTCCATTCGATTCCATTCCATTCGATCCCATTCTATTTGATCCCTTTCCATTCAATCCCATTCCATTCAATTCCATTGCATTCTATTCCATTCCATTTGATTCCATACATTTGAGTCTACTCCATTGGAGTCCATTCCATTAAATCACATTCCATTCGATTCCATTCCATTCTTTTCCATTCCATTCGAATCTAGTCCATTCCATTCGAGTCCACTCCATTTCATTTCATTTATTT
>NT_187420.1:67464-72227 GCF_000001405.40 Homo sapiens | reverse complement strand
CATTCCACTCCACTCCACTCGACTTTACTCCACTCCATTCCTTTCCATTACATTCCATTCCCCTCCACTCCACTCCACTCCATTCCAATCTATTCCACTCCACTCCATTCCAATCCAGTCTACTCCATTCTATTACACTCCACTCCATTCCCCTCCACTTCATTCCGTTCCATTGCATTGAACTCAACTCCCCTCCACGCCACTCCTCTCCACTCCTCTCTGTTCAATTCCATTACTTCCCTTTCCATTCCATTCCATTCCTTCCACTCCACTCCACTCTATTCAACTCCATTCCACCTCATTCCATTTCACTCCACTCCACTCCACTACACATCATTCCATTCGAATCCGTTCAATGCCATTCGGTTCCAATCCACTCGCTTACATTCCATTCGAATCCATTCCTTTTGACTCCATTCTGTAAGATTCCATTTCATTCGAGTCCATTCTATTCAAGTCCATTCCTTGGCAGTCCATTCCATTTGATTACATTCCATTCCACTCTATTCCATTCCATTCCACTCTATTCCATTCCATTCCACTCCACTCAACTGCACTCCATTCCTTTCCATTCCATTCTTTTGCACTCCGCTGCAGTTCATTCCACTCCACTCCAATCCATTCCAGTCCACTCCACTCCAATCAACTCCAATCCATTCCACTCCACTCCACTCCATTTTATTTCAATCCTTTAACTTGCATTTCACTCCACTGCACTCCACTCCACTCCAATCCATTCCATTCCATTCCATTGCATTCGGTTCCTTTCCGTTCCATTGCAATCCCTTCAATTCCATTGCATTCCATTCCTATCCAGTCCATTCCACTCCACTCAAATCCACTCCACTCCATTCCACTCCATTCCATTCCCCTCCACTCCATTCCAATCCACTCCACTCCACTCCACTGCACATCACTGCATTCCATTCCATTCAATTGCGTTCCACTCAAATCTTCACTCCACTCCACTCCATTCCTTTAAATTCCATTGCATTCCACTCCACTCCACTCCACTCTGTTCAATTCTATTCCTTCCCATTCCATTCCTTTCCAGTCGATTCCACTCCACTCCACTCCTATCCATTCAATTCCATTCCACCCCATTCCATTCCACTCTTCCAATTCACTCAACTTCACCGTATTCCATTCGATTCCACTCAATGCTAATCAATTCCATTCCATTCGATTCCATTCCATTTTTTTCCATTCCATTTTATTCCATTCTATTAGATTCCATCCCATTAGATTGCATTCCAGTTTGATTACATTCCATTCGAGTGCATTCCATTCCATTCCAGTCCATTCCATTCTGGTGCATTCCATTCGAGTCCATTCTATTTGAGTCCATTCCTTTCAATTCCATTCCATTCCATTCCATTTCCTTGGCTTCCATTCCCTTCCTTTCCATTCCATTTCATTCCACTCCACCCAAATCCACTACGCTATATTCCTTTTGACTCCATTCCACTGCATTCCATTCCTTTCCATTCCATTGCATTCCATTCCATTCCACTCAACTCCACTTCACTCCAATTTGTTCAGTTCCATTCCTTCCCATTCCATTCTATTCCATTCCTTTACTTTTCATATCATTCCACTCCTTTCCACTCCATTCCATTCCATACCATTCCATTCCATTCCATTCCATTCAATTCCATTCCATTCCACTCAACTCCACTTCACTCCAATTTGTTCAATTCCATTCCTTCCCATTCCATTCTATTCCATTCCTTTACTTTTCATATCATTCCACTCCTTTCCACTCGGTTCTGTTCTATTTCATACCATTCCATTCCATTCCATTCCACTCAACTCCACTTCACAACAATTTAGTTCAATTCCATTCCTTCCCATTCCATTCTATTCCATTCCGTTCCTTTCCATGTCATTCCACTCCTATCCACTGCATTCCTTTCCATTGCATTCCATTCCTTTCCATTCAACTGCATTCCAGTTGAATCCTCTCCACTCTGCACAATTCCATTCCATTCAATTCCATTCCATGCCATTCCACTCCATTCCACTCCACTCCAATCCACTCAACACCATTACATTCCATTCTATTCTATTCCATTCCACTCCATTCCATGCCATTACACGCTATTCAACTCCACTCCACTCCTCTCCAATCCATTCCATTGCATTACAATCCACTCCAATCCACTCCACTCCTTTCAATTCCATTCCTTCCCATTCCATTCGACTCCATTATACTCCACTCTACTCCACCACATTCAACTCCATTCCACCCCATTCCATTCCACTCCATTCCATTCCACTTCACTCCACATAACCGCATTCCTTTCGATTTCATTCGAAGCCATTCCATTCCATTCCATTCCATTCCCTTCTATTGCATTCTCTTCTATTAAATTCCTTTTGATTCCATTCTATTCGATTCCATTCCATTCGATTCCATTCCTTTCAATTCCATTCCATTCAATTCCATTTCATTCAATTTCAGTCCATTCAATTCCATTCCATTTGATTCCATTACATTCAATTCCATTCCTTTCAATTCCATTCCATTCAAATCCATTCAATTCCATTCCATTCCATTCAAGTCCTGTCCATTCCATTCCTCTCCATTCCATTCCTCTCCATTCCACTCCACTCCACTCCACTCAGTTAAATTCCAATCCTTCCCATTCCATTCCATTCCACCGCATTCCACTCCACTCCGCTCCATTCAATTCCATTCCAGGACATTCCATTCCATTCCATCCCCCTCCACTCCACTTCACCACATTCCACTTGATCCCATTCGATGCCTGTCAATTCCAATCCTTTTTATTCTATTCCATTCCATTCCACTGCATTCCTTTCCATTTCAGTCCTGTCCATTCTATTCAAGTCCATTCAATTCCAGCTCATTCCAATCCATTGCATTCACCTCCACTCCACATCACTGCACTCCTCTCCACTCCATTCCATTGCATTCCAATCCACTCTGTTCAGGTCCATTCCTTCTCATTCCATTCCATTCCACTCCATTACCTTCCACTCCACTCCATTCTGTTCCATCCCACCCCATTCCATTCCACTCTGTTCAACACCAATCCACTCCACTTCTAGAAATTCCATTCGATTCCAATCGATTCCTTTCTACTCCATTCGATTCAATTCCATTCGATTCCATTCCATTCGAGTCCATTCCATTCGAGTGCATTCCATTCCGTTCCATTCCATTCCAGTCTGTTCAATTTTAGTCTGATCCACTCCACTCCATTCCACTCCGTTCAGATCTATTCCTTCCCATTCATTCCATTTCACTCCGCTGAACTCCACTCCACTCCACTCCATTCAATTCCACTCCATCCATTCCATTCCTCTCCATTCCACTCCACTCCAATTCAATGCATTCCGCTTGATTTCATTCGATGCCGTTCGTTTCCATGCCATTTAATTCCGTTGCATTCGATTCCTTTCCATTCGAATCCATTCCTTTAGAGTTCATTCCATTTAAGTACATTTCATTCGATTCCATTCCATTCCATTCCTTTCCATTCCATTCCATTCCATTTCATTCCATTCCAATCCAATCCATTTCATTCTATTCCATACGACTCCTTTCCATTCGAGTCCATTCCATTCCAGTCCATTCCATTTGAGCCATTCCAAAGCTTTCCATTTCATTCCATTCCATTCAATTCCATTACATTCCACTCCAGTCCACTCCACTCCATTCCATTCCATTTGACTTCTCTCCCTTCTATTCCACTCCCTTCCACTCGATTCCACTCCTTTCAATTCCATTCCATTGCATTCCATTCAATTCCTGTGCAGTCCATTCCAGTCCTTTCCATTCCATTGCATTCAATTCCACTACACTCGTCTACACTCCACTACTTTCCATAGCATTCCACTCCAATCCATTCCAATCCACTCCACTCCATTCCACTCCACTGCACTAGAATCCACTCCATTGAACTCCACTCCTCTCCACTCCACTCCACTCCATTCCATTCTACTCTACTCTGCTATATTCCAATCCATCCCACTTCACTCAAATCCACTCCATTCCACTCCAATCCACTCCATTCCACTTCATTCCACTCCACTCCAATCCACTCTACTCCAATTCAGTAGATTCCATTTCACTCCACTCCACTCCATTCCACTCCAGTCCACTACATTCCAATCCATTCCATTCCACTCCACTCAAATCAACTCCACTCCACACGATTCCATTGCAATCCGCATCTTTCACTCCACTCCACTCCAGTCCACTCCACTTTATTCCATTAAACTCCACTCCATTGCATTCCACTCCAGTCCACTCCATTTCACTCCACTCCACTCCTTTCCCCTCCACTCCTTTCCACTCCACTCCACTCCACTCCTGTTTTAATCTCCATTCCACTCCACTTTATTATATTCCATTCCACTCGATTCCACTCCACTACACTCCGCTCCTCTCATTGCACTCCATTCCATTCCACTCCACTCCATTTCACTACACTCCACTCCATTCAATTCCATTCCACCCCATTAAATTCCTCTCCGTTCCATTCCACCCCACTCTACTTGACAGCATTCCATTCACTTCCATTTGATGCCACTTGATTCCACTCCATTTGATTCCATTCCTTATGAGTCCATTCCATTCGCTTCCATTGCATTCCATTCCATTCCTTTCCACTCCAGTGCATTCTATTCCAATCCACTCCACTCCACTACCCTGCAGTCATCTCCATTTCACTCCACTACACTCCGTTCAATGCCATTCCTTCCCATTCCTTTACATTTCGCTACATTCCACT
>NT_187420.1:55454-63048 GCF_000001405.40 Homo sapiens | reverse complement strand
ATTCCCCTCCATTCCATTCCACTTTACTCCACTCCACTCCATTCAACTACACTCCATTCCACGCGACTTCACTCCATTCCACTCTATTCCATTACATTATCTTGCATTCCACTCCACTCCACTCCACTCCAGCCCGCTCCATTGAATTCCATTCCCTCTCACTCCATTCCACTCCATTCCACTGCACTCCACATCACTCCATTTGATTCCGTTCTACCAAATTTCAATCCATGCCAATCCACTCCACCGCACTCCACTTCAACACATTCCATTCGATGCCATTCGATGCCATTCTATTCCATTCCATTCCATTCCATTCGATCCCACTCCATTTATTCCATTCCATTCCATTCCATTCCATTCCATTCCATTCCATTCCATTCGAGTCAATTCCTTTTCAGTCCATTTCGTTCCTGTTCATTCCATTCAATTTCCGTCCACTCCACTCCTTTCCACTCAAATCCAATCCACTCCAATACATTCCATTGCATTCCACCCCAGTCCCCTCCTTTCCACTCCACTCCACTGTGTTCAATTCCATTCCTTGCCATTCTCTTCCATTCCACCCCGTTCCAGTCCACTACCCACCACTCCATTCATTTCTGTTGCACTCCATTCCATTCCACTCCAATCCACTGCACTCCACTCCACATCATCACGTTCCATTCAATTCCATTCGATGCTATTTGATTCCATTCCTTTCAATTCCATTCCATTCAACTCCGTGGCATTCGATTCCATTCCTTTTGATTCAATTCCATTACATTCCAATTTATTTGAGTCCATTCCATTCCTGTGCATTCGATTGGAGTTCATTGCATTCGAGCCCACTCCATTCCACTCCATTCCATTTCAGTCCATTCCATTTGAGTCCATTCCACTCCACTCCATTCCACTACATTGCACTCCATTCCACTGCATTCCATTTCATTCCACTCCACTCCATACCACTCACCTCCTCTCCATTCCATTCCACTTCATTCCACTCCTTTCCACTCCACTCCACTCCAATCCATTCCATTCCTTTCCATTCCCCTCCATTCCGCTCATCTCCCATCCACTCAACTCCACTCCACTGGAGTCCATTCCATTCCACTCAACACCATTTATCTCCTCTCCACTCCACTCCACTCTATTCCATTGCATTCCTCTCCACTCCACTCCACTGCACTCCATTCAATTCCATTCCTTCCCATTCCATTCAATTTCACTACATTCTACTGCACTCACTCCACTGCATTCAATTCCATTCCACCCCATTCCATTCCAATGCATTCCATACCAATCCACTCCACTTCACCTCATTCCATTTGAATCCATTTGATGCCATTTGATTCCATTCCATTCAATTCCATTCCATTGGATTCCATTCCGTTGGCTAGCATGCCATTCGATTCTTCTCCATTCCATTCCGTTCCGTTCGATTCCCTTCCATTTGAGAACTTTCCATTTGAGTCCATTCCATTCCAGTCCATTGCATTCCAGTCCATTCCATTTGAGTCCATTCCATTCCGTTCCATTGCATTCCACTCCACTCAACTCCACTGAACTCCACTCCCTACGACTTCATTCCTTCCCATTGCATTCCATTCCACTGCATTCCACTCCACTCCACTCAAATTCATTCCACCGCATTCCATTCCACTATACTCCACTGCACTCCACTCCACTTCACCACATTCCATTCGATTCCATTCGAAGCCATTCTATTCCATTCTTTTCAATTACATTCAATTCGATAGCATTCTATTCGATTTCATTCCATTTGAGTCCATTCCATTGGAGTACATTCCATTCCATTCCATTCCATTCCAATCCTCTGGATTCCATTCCATTACATTCCACTTCACTCCTCTCCACTCCATTCAATTCCATTCCTCCCTATTCCATTCCATTCCACTCTATTCCTCTCCACTCCACACAATTCCACTTCATTCCACTGAAATCTACTGCATTCCATCCCATTCCATTCCACTCCAATCCACTCCACGCCAATCCAATCCATTACACTCCACCCCATTCCATTCTACTCCAATCCACTCCACGGCAATCCAGTCCATTACACTCCACTCCATTCCATTTCATTCCATTGCATTACACTCCATTCCAGTCCACTCCACTCCGTTAAATTCCATTCCTTCCCATTCCATTCCATTCCACTCCATTCCACCCCACTCCAATCCTCTCCATTCAATTCCATTCCACCCCTTTCCATTCCACTACCTGCCACTCCAATCGTGTACAATCCACTCCATTCTATACCATTCCTTCCCATTCCATTACATTTCACTCCATTCCACTCAACTCCACCCCACTTCACCATATTCCATTCGATTCCATTCAATGCCATTGGATTCCATTCCATTTGATTGCATTCCATTCGATTCCATTTCATCCGATTCCATTCCATTCGGTTCCATTCCTTTTGAATCCATTCCATCCGCGTCCATTCCCTCTGAGTCCATTCCAATCGACTCCATTCCTTTCCAGTCCATTCCATTGCAGTCCTTTCCAATCCATTCCATTCCATTTCAAATCACTCCACTCCACTCCACTCCATGCCATTGCACTCAATTCTATTCCATTATTTTCCGTTTCACTCCATTAAACTCCACTCCACTCCACACCACTCCATTCCATTCCACTGCATTCCACTCCATTCCATTTTGTAGCATTCCATTCCATTCAATTCCACAGCATTCAATTCCACTTCCCTACACTCAACTTCTTTCCATTCCATTCCATTCCTCTCTACTCCACACCACTCCATTACAATTCCATTCCTCTCCATTACAATTCCGTTTCACTCCATTCCATTCCACTCCATTCCACTCCATCCATTCCACTTCACCTCAATCCAATCGATTCCATTCGATGCCAATCGATTCCATGCCATTGTGTTCCATGTCATTTGATTCCACTCCATTCCATTCCTTTCAGTTCCATTCCATTGCATTCCTTTCTATTCCATTCCATTCCACTCCGTTCAATTCCATTCCATTCCATTCCACTGCAATCCATTCCATTACATTCAACTCCACTGCACTCCATTCAACTCCATTCCACTCCATTTCACTCCAGTCCACTCCACTCAACTTCCCTACATTACACTTCACTCCACTACAATCCACTCCAGTACACTCCAATCCATGAAAATCCATTCCATTCCATTCCTCTAAATTTCACTTTACTCTACTCCACTCCACTTAAGTGCATTTCATCCCACTCCACTCGAATCCACTCCACTCCATTCCACTCCATTCCACTCAAATCCGTTCCACTCCATTCCATTCCATTCCATTTCATTCAATTCCACCGCATTCCACCCCATTGCATACCACTCCATTCCACTCCACTCCACTGCACCTTATTCCATTTGATTCCAGTCGATGTCATTTGATTCCATTCCATTCGAGTCCATTCCATTCCAGTCCATTCCATTAGAGTCCATTCCATTTGAGTCCATTCCCTTCAAGTCAATTGCTTTCCATTCCATTCCATTCCACACCATTCCATTTCATTTCACTGCATTCCTTTTCATTCCAATCCAATGCACTCCACTTCACTGCACACCACTCCTTTCAAATCCATTCCACTCCACTCCCCTCCAATCCACTCCATTAAACTTCACGCAACTCCACTCTACTCCATTCCATTCCTTTAAATTCCACTCCATTCCTTTCCACTCCATTCCACTTCACTCCTTCCAGTCCACTCCACTGCACTCCACTTGTGTGAATTCCCTTCTACTCCACTCGAATCCACTATATTCCACTCCATTCCAATCCACACCACTAAAATACATTCCACTCCATTCCTCTCCACTACATTCCATTCCATTCCATTACATTCCTCTCCACTCCAATCCTCTCCACTCCACTCCATTCCATTGCATTCCATTGCTCTCCTATCTACTCCACTCCACTCCATTCCATTCCACCCCATTCCATTCCACTCCATTCCACTCCACTCCACTTCACCGCATTCCATTCGATTCCATTCGATGCCATTCGATTAAATTCCATTTGATTCCATTTTATTTGATTCCATTCCATTCGATTCCATTCCACACGATTCCACTCCGTTTGATTCCATTCCATTCTTTTCCATTCGATTCCTTTCCATTCCAGTACGTTCCATTCCATTCCATTCCGTTTCATTCCATTCCATTCCACTCCACTCCACTCAACTCCATTCCACTCCATTCAATTGCAATCCAGTCCAATCCACTCCACTCCATTCCGTCCAAATTCATTCCTTCCAATTAAATTCCATTCCACTCCATTCAACTCCACTGCACTCCACTCCATTCAATTCCCTTTCACCCCATTCAATTCCACTCCATTCCACTCCATTGCACTCCATTCCACTCCACTTCATTTCACTGCAGTCCATTTGATTCCATTAGATGCCATTTGATTCCATTCCTTTCGATTCCATTCCATTCAATTCCATTCCATTCGATTCCATTCCATTCGATTCTGTTCCATTCGAGTCCATTCCATTCGAGTCTATTCCATTTGAGTCCAATGCATTCCAGTCCATTCCATTTGAGTCCATTCAATTCCAGTCCAATCCATTCCATTCGAGTCCATTCCATTCCATTCCACTTCACTACACTCCATTCCACTTCACTACACTCCATTCCACTTGACTTTGTTCCATTCCATTCCTTTCCATTCCACTCCATTCCACTCTATTGCATTGCACTCCACTAGAATCCATTCTATTCCATTGCAATCCATTTCATTCCATTCCATTCCACTCCACTCCACTGCAGTACACTCGACTCCAGTCCACACCACCCCACTCCACTCCACACCACTCCACTCCATTCCATTCCATTCCTTTCCATTCCATTTTACTCCACTCCTCTACATTCCACTCCTTTCTACTCTATTCCATCCCATTCCATTCCATTCCACTCCATGCCATTCCATTCCTTTCCATTCCATTCTGCTCCATTACACTCCACTCCAATCCACTGCAATCCACTCCCCTCCACTCCATTCCATTCCATTCCATTCCATTCCATTCCATTTCATTCCATTGCATTCCATTCCACTCTATTCCACTCCACTTCACTCTGTTCAATTCCATTCCTACCCATTCCATTCCATTTCACTCTATTCCAATCCACTCCACTCCAATTCACAGCATTGTATGTGATTCCATTCAATGCCATTCGATTCCATACCATTCGATTCCATTGTATTTGATTCCATTCCATTCAATTCCACTATATTTGATTCCATACCTTTCTATTACATTCCCTTACATTCCATTCCATGTGTGTCCATTCCTTTACAGTCCATTACATTCCAGTCCATTCCATTCGAGTCCACTCAATTTAAGTACATTCCATTCCATTCCTTGCCATTAATTTCCAGTCCATTCTATTCATTTCCACTCAATTTTACTCCACTCCTTTTCATTCCATTCCTGTCTGTTCCATTCCATTCCATTCCACTCCATTAAACTCCACTCCACTCTACTCCACTCCACTGCAGTCCACTCTACTCTGGTCAATTCCATTCTTTCCCAATACATTCCATTCCACCTCCATTCCAATGACCACCACTCCAGTCCATTCAATTCCATTCCAATCCATTCCATTCCACTCCATTCTCCTCCACTCCTCTCCAATTCATTGCATTCTATTTGACTCAATTAGATGCCATTTGATTCCATTCCATTCGTTTCCACTTCACTCGATTTGATTCCGTTACATTTCATTCGATTCCATTCCATTCCATCCAATTCCATTCCATTTGAGGCCATTCGATTCAAGTCCATTCCATTCGAGTCCATTCCTTGCTATTCCATTTCCATCCTGTAAATTCTATTCGATTCGATTCGATTCCATTCCATTCCACTCCTCTCTTTTCCATTCCACTCCACTCCATTCCACTCTATTCCATTCCACTCCACTCAACTCCTCTCCACTCCACTCGAATCCACAACAACCCATTCCATTCCATTCCACTGCATACTACTCCACTCCACTCCCCTCACCTCCACTCCAATCCATTCAATTCCATTCCTTGCCATTCCATTCCACTCCACTCCACTCCACTTCATTCCACTCTATTCCACTCTATTCCATTCCATTCCATTCCACTCTATTCCATTCCATTCCATTCCATTCCATTCCATTCCATTCCATTCCATAGCATTCTTTCCACTCCTTTCCACTCCACTCTGTTAAATTACATTTCTTCCCATTCCATTGCATTCCACTCCATTCCAATCCACCCCACTCCACTCCAATCAATTCCAATCCATTCCACTCCATTCCATTCCACTCCATTCCATTCCATCCCCTTCCACTCCATTCCACTCCATTCCACTCCACTCCAGTACAGTGCATTCCATTTCATTTCATTCCATTTCATTCAATTCAATTCCACTCCATTTCATTCCATACATTTCAATTCCATTTCAATATATTCCTCTCCACTCCACTCCATTCCATTCTGTTCCTTTGCATTCCACTTACCTGGTCTCCATTCCCATCCATTCAATTCCATTCCACCCCATTTCTTGCCACTACTTTCCACTCCCTCCACTTGTTTCCATTTGATTCAATTCGAAGCCATTCCATGCAACTCCTCTTTTCAATTGATCCATTCGATGCCATTCGTTGCCATTCCATTTGATTCCATTTCACTCAAATCAATTCCATTTGATTCCATTCCATTCGATTCCATTTCATACGAGTCTGTTCCATTCGGGGACATTCCATTCAAGTCCATTCCATTCGAGTGCATTCCTTTCTAGTCCATTCTATTCCTGTCCATAACATTCGAGTAAATTCCATTCCATTCCATTCCATTCCACTCCATTCCAATCCATTCTATTCCATTCCATTGCATTCCACTGCATTCCACTCCACTCCACCGCATTCCACTCCACTCTGTTCAATTCCATTCAATACAATTCTGTTTCATTTCACTCCATTCCCCTCCACTCCACTACATTCTATTGCATTCCACTCCACTCCACTACATTTCACTTCATTCCATTCCACTCCACTCCACTCCAATCCATTCCACTCCACTCCACTCCACATCTCTCCACTCCACTCTATTCCAATCAATTCCACTATTTCCACCCCATTACATTTAACTCCACTCCATCCCATTCCATTCCAATCCACTGGATTCCATTCTTTGCATATTACTCCATTCCACTCCACTCAACTCAACTCGGTTCAATTCTATTCCTTACCATTCCATTCTATTCAAATCCATTCGACACCACTCCCCTCTACTGCATTCATTACATTGCAGCCCATTCCATTCCAATCCATTCCACTCGACTCCACTCCACCTCATCGCATTCCACTGTATTCCCTTTGATGCCATTCTATTCCATTCCATTCGACTCCATTCCATTCTATTCCATTCCATTCTAGTCCATTCCATGCGAGTCCCTTCTATTATATTCCATTCCATTCGAGTCCATTACATGGGAGTTCATTCCTTTCGAGTCCATTCAATTCAAATCCATTCCATTCAAGTCCATTCTATTCCAGTCCATTCCATTGCCAGTCCACTCCCTTCGAGTGCCTTCCATCGAGTCCATTACATTC
>NT_187420.1:22294-51041 GCF_000001405.40 Homo sapiens | reverse complement strand
CCCCACTCAGTTAAATTACATTCCTTTCCACCCCATTCCATTCCACTCTATTCCATTCCATTCCTTTCCATTCCATTCCATTCCATTCCATTACATTCCCTTCCACTCCATTCCATGGCATTCCACTCCATTCCATTCCATTACATTCCATTCAATTCCATTCCACTCAACTCCATTCCATTCCATTCCTCTTCACTCCACTCAGCTCCACTCCACTGCATGTCACTCCAACCCAATCCACTACACTACACTCAACTGCAATCTATATCATGCCATTCCATTCCATTGCATTCCTATCCACTCCACTCCACTCCCCTCCATTCTATTCCATTCCACCCAATTCCATTCCACTCCATTCCACTTCACTCCATTCCACTTCACCGCATTCCATTTGATTCCATTCGATGCGATTCGATTCCATTCCATTCGATTCTGTTTCATTCAATTCAATTCCATTCAATTCCATTCCATCCGATTCAATTCCATTCGAGACCATTCCATTGATATCCATTCCATTCGAGTCTGTTCCATTTGACTCCATTCCGTTCCAGTCTGTTCCATTCCAGTCCGTTCGATTCGAGTCCATTCCATTCCATTCCATTCCATTCCATTCCATTCCTATTCACTCCATTCCATTTCATTCCTCTCCACTCCCCTTCACTCAACTCATATCGGTTCAATTCCATTCCATCCCATTCCATTCCATTCCACTCCATTCCTCTCCACTCCACTCAAATGGATTCAATTCCATTCCAACCATTTCCATTCCACTCCTTTCCTCTCCATTCCACTCCATTGCACCACATTCCACTAGATTCCATTCAATGTCATTTGATATCATTCCATTCGAATCCATTCCATTTGATTCCAGTCCATTCGAATCCATTCCTTTCAAGTCCATTCCATTGCAGTACATTGCATTTGATTCCATTACATTCCAGTCCATTCCGTTACAGTCCATTACATTTGAGTGCAATCCATTCAAGTCCATTCCATTTGATTATGTTCCATTTGATTCCATTCCATTCGATTCCATTCAATTCAGTTCCATTGCATTCGAGTCCATTCCATTCCGTTCCATTCCATTCCAATCCAATCCATTCGATTCGAGTCCATTCCATTCCGTTCCATTCCATTCCATTCCAATCAATTCCATTCGATTCCATTCCATTCGTTTCCGTTCCATTTGATTGCCTTCCTTTCGATTCCATTCCTTTCGATTCCATTCTATTCCATTCCATTCCACTCCATTCCATTCCATTCCAGTACATTCTACTCCACTCCACTCAACTCCGTTAAATTCCGTGCCTTCTGCTTCCATTTTTATTACTCCATTAAATTCTACTCCACTCCAATCCACTTCACTGCATTCCATTTGATTCCATTCAATGCCATTAAATTACATTCCATTTGATTCAATTCCATTCCATTTGATTCCATTCCATTGCAGTCTATTGCATTCGATTCCATTCCATTCAACTCTATTCCATTCTATTCCATTCCATTCGATTCCATTCCATTCCATTCCTTTCCATTTCATTGGATTCGAATCCATTTGATTCCATTCCATTCCATTCGATTCCTTTCCATTCCATTAGATTCGAATCCATTTGATTCCATTCCATTCTATTCAATTCAATTGCCCTCCAGTCCATTCCATTCGAGTCCATTCCATTCCATTCCATTCCTTCCCCTTCCATTCGTTTCCATTCCCTTCAATACCATTGTATTTGGTTCCATTCCATTCGTTTCATTCCATTCCATTCTATTGCATTCACCTCCATTCCATTCCATTCGAGTCCATTCCATTATATTCCATTCCTTTCCATTCCATTTCATTCCATTCCACTCCATTCCATTCCACTCCACTCCCTTCCATCCCATTTCACTCCACTCCAATCCATTCAATTCCATTCCTTCCCATTCTGTTCCATTCCTCTCCATTCAACTCCAGTCCACTCCACTACCTTCAATTCTATTCCACCCCATTCCATTCCACTCCATTCCCTCCTGTCCTCTCCAATTCACTGTATTCCATTTGATTACATTTGATTACATTCCCTTCCATTCAATTCTATTCCATTCCATTCGATTCTATTCCATTCCATTCCATTTGATTCCATTCTATTCCATCACATACCATTCAATTCAATTCCATTTGATTCCATTCCATTCCATTCCATTAAATTCCATTCCATTCCGTTAAGTTCGTTTCCATTCCATTCGAGTCCATTCCATTCCATTCCATTGCGTTCTATTCCATTCCTCTCCACTCCACTCCACTCCTTTACCTTCCACTAAACTCCACTCCACTCCATTCCATTCCATTCAGTTCCATTTGTTTGCACGCCACACCACTCCATCCTTCCCCACTCCAGTCCATTCCATTCCACTCCTTTCCTCTCCATTTTACTCCATTCTATTCCATTCCATTCCTTTACATTTCATTCTATTCCTTTACATTCCATTCCACTCCATTCCACTCCTTTCAATACCATTCCTTCCCATTCCATTCCATTTCTCTCCACTCAACTCCACTCCATTCAATTCCATTCCTTCCGCTTCCATTCCATTCCACTCTTTTCCACTCCACTCCAGTCCACTGCCTTCCATTCCATTTCATTCCATTGCATTCCACTCTTCTCCAGTCCATTCAAATCCATTCCTTCCCATTCCATTCCACTCCATTCCACTCCATTCCACTCCACTCTATTCAATATCATTCCAACCCATTCCATTCCATTACATTTCACTCCACTCCACTCCTATTCACAGCATTAGATTCGATTCCATTCGATACCATTCGATGCCATTTGGGTCCATTCCATTTCACTCCATTCAATTCACTTCCATTCCATCAAAGTCCATTCATTTCCAGTCCATTCCCTTCGAATCCATTCCATTCCTTTCCATTCCACTCCACTCCACTCCATTCACTTCCATTCCACCCCCTCCTTTCCACTCCGTTCCACTTCACTACACTCCACTCCACTTTTGCGCATTCCATTCAATTCCTTTCCACTCAATTCCATTTCATTCGATTACATTCCCTTTGATTCCATTCCATTCGATTCCATTCTATTCGATTCCATTCCATTCTATTTCATTCCACTCCACTCCACTACACTCCATTCCATTCCATTCCACTCCTTTCCATTCCATTCCATTCCATTCCACTCCATTCGATTCCATTCCATTCCACTCCATTTCTTTCCACTCCATTCCACTCCATTCAACTCCATTCAATTTCATTACATTTTATTTGATTCCATTGCATTCTATTCCTTTTAACTCCACTCAACTGTGTTCAGTTCCTTTCCGTCCCATTCCATTCCTTCCCATTCCATTCCATTCCACTCCACTCCATCCTCTCCACTCCATTCAATTCAATTCCACTCCTTTCCATTCCACTCCGTTCTAGTCCGCTGCACTACAGGTCACCGCATTCCATTCGATTCTATTCGATGCCATTCGATTCCATTACATTCGATTCCACTCCATTCTATTCCATTCCATTTGTATCCATTAAATTCGACTCCATTACCTTCGTGTCCATTCCATTCGAGTATATTCCATTCCATTGCATACCATTTCATTCCTTTCCATTCTACTCCACTCCACTCCTCTCCACAGCACTCCATTCAATACCATTCTACTCCCTTCCAGTCCATTCCATTTGTGTCCATCCCTTTTGAGTCCATTCCATTCAAGTCCATTCCATTCCACTCCATTCCATTCCTGTCCATTCCATTCCATTCCATTGAATTCCACTCCACTCCACTCCACTCAATTCCATTCCCTTGCATTCCATTCCATTCCATTCCATTCGAGTCCATTCCATTTCATTCCACTGAATTCCACTCCACTGAACTCCACTCAATTCCTTTGCCTTGCATTCCATTCCGTTCCGTTCCATTCCTCTCCATTCCATTCCTTTCCACTCCATTTCATTTTATTCCATTCCACTCCACTCCACTCCATTTAACTCCGCACCACTCCATTCCATGGCATACCAATCCACTCCACTCCACTCGACTCAAATGCATTGCAATTCCATTGCATTCCACTCCACTCCACTGCTTTCCCCTCCGTTCAATTACATTCCTACCCATTCCATTCCATTCCACTCCTTTCCTCTCCACTTCACTCCACTCTATTGAATTCCATTCCACCCCATTCCATTCCACTGCATTTCCCTCCACTCCACTCCACTCCACTCCAATTCACCACATTCCATTCAATTCCATTCAATTCCATTCAATTCCATTCCTTTCGATTGCATTCCATCTGAGTCCATTCCATTCCAGTCCGATCCATTCGAGTGCATTTCTTTCGCGTCCATTACAATCCAGTACATCCCATTTGAATCCTTTCCATTCGATTCCATTCCGTTCGATTCCATTGCATTTGAATTTATTCCATTCGATTCCATTCCATTCGAATCCATTCCATTCGTTTCCATTTCATTCAATTCCGTTACATTCCAGTCCATTCCATTCCAGTCCATTAAATTCCTGTCCATTCCATTCGAATCCATGCCATTCCATTTCATTCAATTCCATTCAATTCGTGTGCCATCCATTCGAGTCCATTCCATTCCAGTCCATTCCATTCGAATCCATTCAATTCGATTCCATTCCGTTCATTTCCTTTCCATTTGATTCCATTCCATTAGCGTCCATTCCATTCCAGTCCATTAAATTCCAGTCCATTCCATTCGAATCCATTCCATTTCATTATATTACATTCCACTCCCCTTCACTCCACTCTACTACATTCCATTCCGTTACATTTCATCGCACTCCTCTCCTTTCCACTTCAGTCCATTCAATTCCATTCCTTCCCATTCCATTCCATTTCAATCCCTACCACTCCACTCCTCTCTGCTCAATTCCATTCCACTGCCTTTCACTCCACTCCACTCCACTTCATCGCATTCCATTCAATTACATTTGATGCCTTTCGATTCCATTCCATTCCATTCCATACCATTTGATTCCATTCCATTCGATTTGATTCGTTTCAACTCCATTCCATTCCATTCCATTCAATTCCATTCCACTCCATTTCATTCCATTCCATTCCACTCCGTTCTACTCCACTCCACTAAACTGCACTGCACTCCACTGCATTCCATTCCATTCCATTGAATTCGATTCAATTGCACTCCATGCCTTTCCATTCCATTCCATTCCATTCCACTCAATTCCTATCCACTCCACTACAATTTATTCCACTCCACTCCACTCCATTCCTTTCCATTCCTTTGCATTTTACTCCAATCTCCTCCACTTCATTCAATTCCATTCATTTCCATTCCATTCCATTCCACTCCATTCCAATCCACTCCACTCCACTCCATTCAAATACATTCCACCAAATTCCATTCCACTCCATTCCACTCCACTCCACTCCACTTCGCCGCATTCCATTCGATTCCATTACATCCCATTCAATTCCAGTCGTATCCACTCCATTCCCTTCCATTCCATTCCACACTACTCCACTCCATTTGAATCCGTTCAATTCCATTCCATTGCATTCCACTCCACCCCACTCCACTTCAACCCATTCAATTCCATTCTATTCCATTCCACTCCCCTCCACTCCATTCCAATCCATTCCACTGTCCTCTATTCTATTTCATGTCATTACACTCCACTCCTATCCACTCCACTCCTCTCCACTCCACTCCATTCCATTCCATTCCATAGCATTCCTCTCAAATCCACTCCACTACACTCCATTAAATTCCATTCGTTTCCACCCCATTCCATTCTATTCCATTCCTTTCCTCTTCAATCCATTCCATTCTACTCCATTCCATTCCATCCTACTCGACTGCATTCCATTCCTCTCCCCTCCACTCCATTCCGCTCCATTCCACTCCAATACACTCCACTACACTCCAATTCAATCCACACCATTCCATTCCATTCCATTGCATTCCACTCCACTCCACTCCATTCAATTTCATTCCACCCCATTCCATTCCACTCCATTCCACTCCACTCCACTTCACCACATTCCATTCGATTCAATTCGATGCCCTTCGATTCCATTCCATTTGATTCCATTTCATTCAATTCAATTCCATTTTATTCCATTCCATTCATTTGCGTTTCATTCGATTCCATTCTATGTGATTCCATTCCATTTGATTCCTTCCCATTCTATTCCAAACCATTCGATTTAGTTCCATTCGAAACCTTTCCATTCCATTCCATTCCATTCCACTCCATTCCATTCCATTAAACTCCACTCCACGCCACTCCAATCTACTCCACTCCACTCCATTCCATTGCACTCCACTCCATTCCCCTCCAATTCATTCCATTCCATTCTATTGCACTCCACTCCACTCTATTCAATTCCATTCCTTCCCATTCCTTTCCATTCCACTCCATTCGACTCCACTCCACTGCTTTCAATTCCATTCCATTCTATTTCATTCCACTCCATTCCATTCCACTCCACTCCACTCCAATCCATTCCATTCCATTGCATTCCAATCCACTCCACTGCACTCCACTCCATTCCATTCCCTTCCTTCCCATTCCATTCCTTCCCATTCCATTCCATTCCACCCCTTTCCACTCCACTGCACTCCACTTTATTCAATACACTTCCACCCCATTCCTTTCCACTCCATTCGAGTCTACTCCACTCCACTTCACCACATTCCATTCGATTATATTAGATGCCATTTGATTCCACTTCTTTCGATTCCATTCCATTCAATTCCTTTCTATTCGAGTCCATTGCATTCAAGTCCATTCCATTCAAGTCCATTCCATTCGGGTCCATTCCCTTCTGGTCCGTTCCTTTGTATTCCATTCCATTCCACTCCACTCCACTTTTCTACACTCCTTTCCATTCTGTTCCATTCCATTCCTTTCCAACCCATTCCATTCCACTCCATTCCATTCTATTCCACTCCACTCCATTAAATTCCATTCCATTCGATTCCATTCCATTCCATTCTATTCCACTCCACTCCATTAAATTCCATTCCATTCGATTCCATTCCATTCCATTCCATTCCATTCCACTCCATTCCATTCCATTCCACTCTACTCCATTCCATTCCACTCCCCTCCAGTCAACTCCATTCCCCTCCATTCCTTTCCATTGCATTCCATTCCATTGCAATTTATCCACTCCACTGCATTCCACTTCATTCCATTCCACTCCACTTCTTTCCATTCAACTCTACTCCACTCCACTCCACTCAACTCCAGTCCACTACACTTCATTCCATTCCATTGCATTCCACTCCACTCCACTCTGTTCAATTCCATTCCTTTCCATTTAATTCCAATCCACTGCATTCTACTCCACTCCACTCCGTTCAATTCCATTCAACACCATTCCATTCCACTCCATTCCACTCCACTCCACTTCACCGCATTCCGTTTGATTCCATTCGATGCCATTTTATTATATTCCATTCGATTATATTCCACTCGATTCCATTCCATTACATTCCATTACATTCGATTCCATTCCATTTGATTCCAATCCGTTAGATTCCATTCCATTCGATTTTATTCCATTTGATGCCTTTCCATTCGATTCCTATCCATACATTTCCATTCAATTCGAGACCATTACATTCGACTCCATTACATTCGAGTCCATTCCTTTCGTGTCCTCTCAATTCGAGTACGTGCCATTCGAGTCCATTCCACTCGATTCCATTCCATTCCAGTGCATACCATTCCAACCCATTCAATGCCACACCTTTCCATTCCATTTCATTCCAATCCTTTCCACTCTACTCCTCTCCACTCCATTCCTTTCTATTCCATTCCACTGCATTCCTCTCCAATCTACTCCACTCAACTCTACTCCAATTAATTCCATTCCTTTCCATTCCATTCCATTCCATTCCACTCCATTCCACTCCACTCCAATTCACTCCATTAAATTCCTTTCCACCCCATTCCATTCCACTCCTTTCCACTCCAATTAACTCGACTAAGTCCATTCGATTCCATTCGATGTCATTCGACTCCATTTGATGTCATTTGATTATATTGCATTCAATTCCATTCCGTTAGATTTCATTCCATTCGATTCTATTTAATTCGAATCCATTCCATTCGATCCCTTTCCATTCAAGCCCATTCCATTCCAGTCCATTCCATCCCACTCCGTTTCAACCAAGTCCATTCTATTCGAGTCCATTCCATTTTATTCCATTCTATTCCATTGCATTCCATTTTACTCCGCATGACTCCATTCCATTCCACTCCATTCCACTCCACTACACTCCATTCCATACCATTCCATTCCCTTCCATTCCATTCCATTCCATTCCACTCCACTGAACTCCACTCCACTTCACTCCACTCCACTCCTCTCTGCTCTGCTCCACTCCACTCCATTCCACTCCATTCCATTCCATTGCATTGCATTCCACTCCATTCCATTCTATTGCATTTCATTCCACTCCTTTACACTCCACTCCACTCCACTCCGTTCAATTCCATTCCTCCCCATTCCATTCCATTCCACTCCATTCCACTAGATTCCAAGCTACTCCATTCAGTTTTGTTCCAACCCATTCCATTCCACTCAATTCCCTTCCACTCCACTCCACCTCACCGGGCTCTATTCGATCCCATTCAATGCCTTTTGTTACCATTCTATTCCATTGCATTCGATTCCATTTGATTCCATTCCATTCCATTCCATTCCATTCCATTCCATTCCATTCCATTCCATTCCATTCCTTGCCATCTGATTCCATTCCGTCCGATTCCACTCTATTTGATTCCATTCCATTCCAGTCCATTCCATTCGAGTCCATTCCATTCGAGTCAATTCAATTCATATATATTCCCTTCCAGTCCATTCCATTCGAGTCCATTCCTTTCGAGTGCACTGAATTCGAGTACGTGCCATTCAAGTCCATTCCACTCGACTCCATTCCATTCCAAGCCATTCCAATCCAATCCATTACATGTCACTGCTTTCCATGCCATTCCATTCCACTTTGTTCCACTTCACTCCACTCCATTCCTTTCCGTTCCATTCCACTGCATTCCTCTCCACTCCACTCAAATGTACTCCAATCCATTCCATTCTGTTCCACTCTATTGCACTCCACTCCACTTCACTCCATTACATCCCTTTCCATGCCTTTCCATTCCACTCCCTTTAACTCCCTTTCACTAAGTCTATTCAATTCCTTTCAATGCCATTTGATTACACTGCATTCAAATCCATTCCATTCTATTTCATTCCCTTTGGATCCATTCCATTCGAATCCATTCCATTCGAGCCTATTCCATTCAAGCCCATTCCATTCCAGTCCATTCCATCCCACTCCGTTTCCTTCAAATTCATTCCATTCCATTCCATTCCTTTGTATTCTCTTCTATTACATTGCATTGAATTTCACTCTGCTACACTCCATTCCTTATCATTCCATTCCCTTCCATTCCATTCCCTTCCATTCCACTCCACTCAACTCCATTCCACTCCACTCAGCTCCACTCCACTCCATTCCATTCCATTCCAGTGCATTCCTTTCTACTCCATATCACTCCACTCCAATCCACTCCTTTCAATTCCAATCCTTCCCATTCCATTCCATTCCACTCTATTCCACTACTTTCCAAGCTACTCCATTCAGTTCCGTTCGAACCCATTCCCTTCCACTCAATCCCACTCCACTCCACTCCATCTCACTGCATTCTATTTGTTCCCATTTGATGCCATTCATTGCCATTTGATTCCATTACATTCGATTCCACTGCATTCGATGCCATTCCATTCGATTCCTTTTCATTTGATTCCATTCCATCCGATTGCACTCCGTTTGAGTCCATTCCATTCCAGACCATTCCAGTCGAGTCCATTCCATTCCATTCCATTCGAGTCCATTCAATTCCAGTCCACTCCATTCCAGTTCATTGCATTCAATTCCATTCCACTTCACACCATTCCATTCCACTCCACTCCTCTCTGTTCAATTCAACTCCACTCCAGATCAGTCCACTGAACTCCACTTCATTCCATTCCTTTCCATTGCATTGCATTCCACTCCTCTCCAATCCTCTCCACTCCATTCAATTCCATTTCTTCCCATTCCCTTCCATTCCACTCCATTCTAATCCACTCCACTCCAATCCATTCAATTACATTCCACCCCATTCCATTCCACTCTATTCCACTCCACTCCAGTTGACTTCACAGCATTCCATTCTATTCCATTCAATGCCATTGGATTCAATTCCATTCAATTACTTTCCAATCAATTCTATTCCATTCACTTCCAATCCATTGCATTCCATTCCATTCCATTCCATCCCATTCCATTCGTGTCCATTCCATTCGAATCCATTCCATTCCATTCCACTCTATTCCATTCCATTCCATTCCATTCCATTCTGTTCCATTCCATTCCATTCGATTCCAATCTATTTGAGTCCATTCCATTCAATTCCATTCCATTCCAGTCCATTCCCCTCCAGTCCATTCCATTCTAGTCCATTCCATTTCATTCCATTCCATTGCACTCCACTCCACTCCACTCCACTCCACTCCACTCCACTCCAGTCCATCCCACTCCACTCCACTTCACTGGACTCCACTTCAGTCAATTCCATTCCATTGCATTCCACTCCACTCTACTGCACTCCTTTCAATTCCAGTCATTCCTATTCCTTTCCATTCCACTTCATTCCACTCAACTCCACTCCACTCCATACAATTCCATTCCTCCACATTCCATTCCACTCCATTTCATCCCACTCTACTCCACTTCACCACATTCTTTCAATTCCATTTGATTCCATTCGATTCCATTACATTCAATACCATACCATTTGTTTCCCTTCCATTCCATTCAATTCCATTGCATTCCATTCCATTCGATACCATTCCATTCAATTCCATTCCGTTCAATTCCATTCCATTCTATGCCATTCCAATCAATTCCATTGCATTCCATTCCATTCGATACCATTCCATTCAATTCCATTCTGTTCGATTCCATTCTATTCTATGCCATTCCATTCAATTCCATTCCATTTGATTCCATCCAATTCGGTTCCATTCCATTTGATTACATTCCATTCCATTTGATTCCATTCCATTCGTTGCCATTCCATTCAAGTCCATTCCATTTCATTGCATTCCATTCCATTCCATTCCACTCCGTTCCATTCTATTACTTTGCATTCCACTCCTCTCCACTCCACGACACTGCACTTTGTTCAATTCCATTCTGTCCCATTTCATTGAATTCCATTCCATTCCATTCCATTCCATTCCATTCCATTCCATTCCTTTCTACTCCACTCCATTCCACGACATTGCACTCCACTGCATTGCAATCATTTATATTACGCACCACTCCACTCCATTCCGGTACATTCGACTCCACTCCAATCCACTCCACACCATTGAATTCCATTCCCTCCCATTCCATTCGATTCCCTTCCATTCTACACCAGTCCACTACAATCCATTCAAATCCATTCCTCCCCATTGTATTCCCATCCTTTCCACTCCACTGCTCTTTACTTCACCGAATTCCATTCGATTCCATTTGATTTGATTCGATTCCATTCTATTACACTCTATTCGATTCCATTCCATTCCATTCTTTACATTCCACTCAATTCCATTCCATTCCTTTCCTTTCCACTCAATTCCATTCCATTCCATTTCATTGCATTCCAGTCTACTCCTCTGCACTCCACTGTATTCAATTCCATTCTATTGCTTTCCACTCCACTCCACTATGTTCAATTCCATTCCTTCTCATTCCATACCATTCAACTCCATTCCACTCCACTCCACTCTATGCAATTCCATTCCTCACATTCCATTCCTCTCCATTCCAATCCACTCCACTCCAATTCACCAAATTCCATTTGATTTCATTCCATTCCATTCGATTCCATTCCATTCTATTCCTTTCAATTCCATTCAATTTGATTCCATTACATTCTATTCCATTCCTTTTGATTCCATTCCATTTGAGTCCATTCCATTCCATTCCATTCCATTTGAGTCCATTCCATTCCATTCTATTCCATGCCTTTCCGTTGCACTCCACTCCACTCCACTCCATTCCACTCCATTCCACTCCACTCCACTCCATTCAATTCCGTTACTTCCCATTCCTTTCCTTTCCACTCCATTCCACTCTACGCCACTCCATTCAATTCCATTCCACCGCATTCCATTCCACTCCATTCCACTCCACTGCCCTCCACTATACCACATTCCATTTGATTCCATTCCGTTCGATTCCATTTCTTTTGATTCCATTGCATTCTATTTCATTGCATTCTATTCCACTCCATTCGAGTCCATTCCATTCCAGTCCATTCCATTTCAGTCCATTCCATTCGTGTCCATTCCATTCCAGTCCATTCTATTCCAGTCCATTCCATTCGAGTCCCTTCCATTCCATTCGTGTCCATTCCTTTACTATCCATTCCATTCCATTCCACTCCACTGCACTACACTCCACTCCATTCAGTTCCAATCCTTCCCATTCCATTCCATTCCACACCATTCCACTCCACTCCACACCACCACATTCAATTCCATTCCACCAAATTCCCTTCAACTCCATTCCACTCCCCTCCTCTCCACTTTACCATATTCCTTTTGATTTCATTTGATGACATTCAATTCCATTCAATTCGATTCCATTCCATTTGATTCTATTCCATTCAATCGCATTCGATTTGATTCCTTTCCATTCGATTCCATTCCATTCGATTCCATTACATTACCTCACATTAAATTTGATTCAATTCCATATGATTCCATTCCATTCTATTTCATTCGATTCCATTCCATTCCATTATGTTTGATTCCATTCCATTCACTTCCATTCCATTCGAGTCCATTCCATTTGTGTCTGTTCCATTCCACTTCATTCTATTTGAGTCCACTCCATTCCAGTTCATTCCATTAGTGTCCATACCTTTCCATTCCATTGCATTCTATTCCATTCCACTACATTCCACTCCTTTCCACTCTACTCCACTCCATTCCATTCCATTCTACTCCATTCCATTCCACTCCACTCCACACTATCCTAACCCACTCCAGTATACTCCTTTCCTATCCTTTCCATTCTATTTTACTCCATTGTGTTGCATCACATTCCATTCCATTCCATTCCATTCCATTCCATTCCATTCCATTGCATTCCATTCCATTCCATTACATTCCATTCCACTCCACTCTACTCCAGTCCCCTCCCTTCAATACTATTCCTTCCCATTCCATTTCATTCCACTCCATTCCACTCCACACCTCTCCATTACATTCAGTTCCGTTCCACCCTATTCTATTCCACTCCATTCCACTTCACTCCTCTCCAGTTCACTGCATTCCATTCGAATCCATTCGATGCCATTAGATTCCATTCCATTCGATGCCATTTCATTTCATTCCATTCCATTCGATTCCATTCCATGCGATTCCATTCCATTCGCTACTATTCCATTTGATCTCATTCCATTCAAAGCCATTCCATTCGATTCCATTCCATTCCATTATACTTGATTCCGTTCCATTAGCGTCCATTCTATTTGAGTGCATTCCATTTCAGTCCTTTCCATTCCAGTCCATTCTATACCAGTCCATTTCATGTGAGTCCATTTATTCAATTCCATTCTATTCCATTCCACTCCACTCCATGCCTCTCCTCTCCACTCCACTCCATTCCATCCATTCCATTACATTCCACTACACTCCGCTCCACTCCACTCCTTTCAATTCCATTCCTTACCATTCCATTCCATTCCCCGCCACTCCAATACACTCTACTCTATTCCATTCCAGTCCATTCCATTCCACTCCATTCCACTTTGCTCCAATCCAGTTCACCGCATTGCATTTGATTCCATTCGATTTCATTTGATTCTGTTCGATTCTAATCCATTCAATTATATTGCATTTGATTCCATTCCATTTGGGTCCATTCCACTCTAGTCCACTCCAATGCTTTCCATTCCATTCTGTTGCGTTCCATGCCAGTCCATTCCATTTCAGTCCATTCCACTCCACTACAATCCATTCCACTCCACTCCAATCCGTTCAATTCCATTCCTACCCATTCCATTCCATTCCACTCCATTCCACTCCACTCCTCTTAACTCCATTCAATTCCATTCCATCCCATTGCATTCCTCTCCTTTCCACTTCAGTCCACTCCAGTTCACCACTTTCCATTCAATTCCAATCGATGCCATTCAAGTCCATTCCATTCGAGTCCATTCCATTCCAGTGCATTCCATTCGAGTCCATTTCATTCGAATCCATTTATTACCTGTCCATTTCATTCGATTCCATTCCATTCGATTCCATTCCATTCATTTCCATTCCATACGAGTCCATTCCATTCCGGTCCATTCTATTCGAGTCCATTCCATTCGAGTCCGTTTCCTGAAATTCCCTTCCATTCAATTCCATTTCATTCCATTATATTCGATTCCATTCCATTCGTGTCCATTCCATTCCAGTCCATTACATTTAAGTCAATTCCATTCCATTCCATTCCATTCCATTCCATTCCCAAATTTCATTCCATTCCATTCCATAGCATTCAATTCCACTTCACATCACTGCACTCCTCTCCACTCCATTCCACTGCATTCCATTGCATTCCACTCCATTTCACTCCACTCCACTCCATTCTGTTCAATTCCATTCCTTGTCCTTCCATTGCATTCCACTCCATTCCCCTCCACTCCACTCCACTCCATTCTATTGAATTCCACCCTTTCCATTCCACTCTATTCCACTCCACTCAACTTTACTTCACCAAATTCCTTTCGGTTCCATTCGATTCCATTCTACTCCATTCGATTCCGCTCCATTCGGTTCCATTCCACTCAAGTCCATTCCATTCGCTTTCTTTCCATTCCATTCCAGACCAGTCCAGTCCACTCCATTCCAGCCCTTTCCTCTCCACTCCAGACCACTCCACTCTTTTCAGTTCCATTCCTTCCTATGCCATTCCATTTCACTCCATTGCATTGCATTTCACTCCTCCCCATTCCATTCCATTCCATTCCATTCCATTCCCCTCCACTACACTCCAATTCTCCACATTCCATTTGATTCTAATTGGTGCCATTCCATTACATTCAATGCAACTCCATTCTGTTTGATTCCATTCCATTTGATTCCATTCCTTTCACTTCCATTCCATTGCAGTCCGTTACATTCGATTCCATTCCATTTGATTCCATTCTATTAGATTCGACTCCAATCTATTCTATTGCATTCGAGTCCATTCCATTCCAGTAATTTCTATTCGAGTTCATTCCATTCCATCCATTCCATTCCATTCCATTCCGTTCCATTCCATTCCATTCGAGTCAATTTCATTTGAGTCCATTCCATTGCAGTCAATTCTATTCGAGTCCATTTCATTCCGTTCCATTCCATTCCACTCCAATCCATTCCATTCGATTCCATTCCATTTGATTCCAGTCCATTCCATTCCATTCCATTCGAGTCCATTCCTCTCGAGTTCATTCCATTCCATTCCATTCCATTCCTCTCCATTCCACTCCACTCCACTCTACTCCACTCCACTCTGCTCAATTTCATTCCTTCCCATTGCGTACCATTCCACTCCATTCTGCTACATTTCACTCCACTCCACTACACTTCACCTCATTCCATATGATTCTATTTGATGCCATTCATTTCCATACCTTTCTATTCCTTTCCATTCGATTCCATTCTATTTGATTCTGTTCCATTCCAGTCCATTCCATTCAATTCCATTCCATTCAATTCCATTCAATTTGATTCTATTCCTTTCCATTCCATTCCATTCCAACACATTCAATTCCAATCCATTGCATTCCATTCCATTCGATTCCATTCTATTTGGTTCTGTTCCATTCCAGTCCATTCCATTCAATTCCATTCCATTCAATTCCATTCAATTTGATTCTATTCCTTTCCATTCCATTCCATTCCAACGCATTCAATTCCAATCCATTGCATTCCATTCAATTCCATTCCATTCTATTTGATTCTGTTCCATTCCAGTCCATTCCATTCAATTCCATTCCATTCAATTCCATTCAATTTGATTCTATTCCTTTCCATTCCATTCCATTCCAACGCATTCAATTCCAATCCATTGCATTCAATTCCAATCCATTGCATTCCATTCCATTCCATTCCATTCTATTGCATTCCATTGCATTCCTCTTGATTCCATTCGATTCCTTTCGATTCCATTTCACTCCCTTCCTTTCCATTCCATTCGATTCCTTTCTATTCCATTCCATTCCTTTCCACTCCATTTGATTTCATTCTATTCGAGTCCATTGCTTTTGGTTCCATTCCTTTCAGTTACGTTTCATTCCATTGTATTCTTTAGCATTCCATTTTATTCCATTCGACTCCATTCCATTCCATTTGATTTCATTCCATTCTTCTCCTTTCCATTTGAGTCCATTCCATTCCACTCCACTCTACTCCAACCTATCCCACTCCACTCCTTTCCATTCCACTCCTTTCCACTCCATTTCACTCCATTCCATTCGATTCCATTCCTTTCCTTTCCATTCCATTCCATGGCATTCCATTCCACTCCACTCCACTCCACTCCATTCAATTCCATTCCTTCTCATTCTATTCCATTCCACTCGATTCCACTCCACTCCACTCCACTACATTCAATTCCATTCCATCCCTTTCCATTCCACTCCTTTCCAATCCACTCCTCTCCACTTCATTGTGTTCCTTTTGATTTCATTTGATGGCATTCGATTCCATTCAATTGGATTCTATTCCATTGTATTCTATTCCATTCAATCCCATCCGATTCAATTCCATTCCATTCTATCCCATTCCATTCGATTCCATTCCAATTGATTTGATTCCATTCCATTCCATTCCATTCCATTCCATTCCATTCCATTCCATTCCATTCCATTATTGTCGATCCTTTCCATGTGAGTGCTTTCCATTCGAGTCTATTCCATTCAGGTCCATTCCATTCCAGTCCATTGCATTTGAGTCCATTTTATACCAGTCCATTCCATTCGAGTCCATTCCATTCCATTCCTTTCCATTCTATTCAATTCCACTCCACTACCCTCCTCTCCATTCCACTCCACTCCACTCCATTCCATTCCATTCCACTCCACCCCACTCCATCCTACCCCAATCCAGTCCATTCCATTCCACTGTTTTCCACTCCATTTTAATCCATTGCATTCCATTCCATTCCATTCCATTGCATTCCATTCCTTTCCACTACAGTCCACTCCTTTCAATACTATTCCTTCCCTTTACATTCCACTCCACTTCATTACACTCCACTCCACTACATTCAATTCCATCCCTCCCCATTCAATTCCACTCCATTACACTCCACTCCACTACATTCAATTCCATCCCTCCCCATTCCATTCCACTCTATTCCACTCCACTCCTCTCCAGTTCTCCGCATTCCATTCTATTCCGTTTGATGTCATTCGATTCAATTCAATTCGATTCCATTCCATTCGATTCCATTCTATTCGATGGCATTCAATAGATTCCACTGCATTTTATTCCATTTGATTCGATTACATTCCATTCGATCCTATTCCATTCAATTCCATTACATTCGATTCCATTCCATTCCATTCCATTATATTCGATTCTATTCCTTTCGAGTCCATTGTATTAATGTCCATTCCATTCGATTGCATTCCATTCCAGTCCATTCGTTTCGAGTCCATTCTATCTCAGTCCATTTCATTCGCGTCCATTCCAATCAATTCCATCCTTTTACATTCCACTGCACTCCATTCCTCTGCACTCCACTCCACCCCATTCCATCCATTCCATTGCATTCCGCTTCCCTCCATGTCACTCCACTCCATTCAATTCCATTCCTTCCTATTCCATTCCATTCCACTCCATTCCCCTCGACTCCACTCCACTCCATTCTATTCCATTCCACCGCATTCCATTACACTCCATTCAATTTTGCTCCACTCCCTTTTGCTCCACTCAACTTCACCACATTCCATTCGGTTCCAATTGATTCCATTCGATTTCTTTCATTTCAATTCCATTCAATTTTATTCCATTTGATTCCATTCCATTTGATTACATTCCGTTCGATTCCATTCCATTCTATTTCGTTCCATTCCATTCCATTCTATTCCAGTCCATTCCATTCCAGTCTATTCCACTCCAGTCCATTCCACTGCACTCCACTCCACTCCACACCACAGCAATTCATTCAATTGCATTCCTTCCCATTCGGTTCCATTCCACTCCATTCCTCTCCACTCCACTAAACTCTATTCAATTTTTTTCCACCCCATTCCATTCCACTGCATTCCTCTCCACTTCACTCCACTTAACAGCATTCCATTTTATTGCATTCGATGCCATTTGAGTCCATTCCATTCGAATCCATTACATTCCAGTTCATTTCATTCAAGCCCATTTTATTCAATTCCATTCTATTCCATTCCTCTCCTCTCCACTCCTCTCCACTCCAATCCTCTCCATTGCATCCATCCAATTGCATTCCACTCCCTTCTGCTCCACTCCACTGAGTTCAATTCCATTCCTTCCATTTCCTTTCCATTCCACTCCACTCCCCTACACTCCAGTCCACTACATTCTTTTCCATTCCACCTCATTCCATTCCACTCCATTCCACTTTGCTCCACTCCACTTTACTGCATTCCATTTGATTCCATTTGATGCCATTCAATTCCGTTCGATTCCATTCCATTCAATTTTATTCCATTTGATTCCATTCCATTCGCGTCTGTTCCATTCGAGTCCATTCCATTCCAATCCATTCCATTCCATTCCAGTCCATTCCATTGCTGTCTATTCTACTCCACTCCACTCCATTCCACTCCACTGAAATCTGATCAATTCCATTCCTTCCCATTCCATTCCATTCCACTCTATTCCACTCCACTCCACTCCACTCCACTAAACTCCATTCAATTTTATTCCACCCCATTCCATTCCACCCCATTCGACTTCACTCCACTTCACCGCATTCCTTTCACTTCCATTCATTGCCATGCCCTTCTATTCCATTCGGGTCCATTCCATTCCCGTCCTTTCCATTCAAGTCCATTCTGTTTGAGTCCATTCCTTTAGATTCGATTCCATTCAATTCCATTCCATTCGAATCCATTCCATTCCCGTCCATTCCATTCGAGTCCATTCCATTCTAGTCCGTTCCACCTGAGTCCATTGTATTCCATTCCATTCCATTGCATTCAACTCCACTCCACATCACTACACTACTGTCCACTCCATTCCATTCCATTCTCATGCATTCCACTCCACTCCTCTCCAATCCACTCTTTTCAATTCCATTCCTTCTCATTTGATTCCATTCCACTCCATTCCCCTCCACTCCAATCAACTCCATTCTATTCCATTCCACTCCACTCTATCCCACTCCACTCCACTCCTCTTCACCGAATTCCACTCGATTCCATTCAATTTCATTCTATTCCTATTGATTCCATTCCATTTGATTCCCGTCCATTCGAGTCCATTTCATTTGAGTCCGTTCCATTCCATTCCATTCCACTCCATTCCATTTGAGTCCACTCCATTCCATTACACTCCATTCCATTCCATTCCATTAAACTCCATTCCATTCCATTCCATTCCGTTGCATTATATTCCACTCCACTTCACTCCGTTCCTTTCCTTTCCTTTCCATTCTTTTCCAGTCCACTCCATTCCACACCACTGAACTTCACTCCATTCCATTCCACTCCATTTCTTTCTATTCCAATCCACTCCACTACACTCCATTCCTCTCCACTCCATTGCACTCCAATTCACTCAACGCCATTCCATTGCACTTCACTCCAATACATTCCACTCCACTCCATTCCATTCCATTCCATTGCATTCCACTCCTCCCCACCTCTCCACTCCACTCCTATGCATTCAATTCCATTCCACCCCATTCCATTCCACCCCATTCCAATCTTCTCCACTCCACTTCACCGTATTCCATTACTTTCCATTAGATGCCATTCCATTGCTCTTTATTCAATTCCATTCCATTCGATTCCATTCCATTCGATTCCTTTCCTTTCGATTCCGATCCATTTGATTGCATTCCGTTCGATTCCATTCCCTTTGAGTCCATTCCATTCGAGTCCATTCTATTCCAGTCCATTCCGATCAGGTCCACTCCATTGGAGTCTATCCCATTCCATTCCAATCCATTCCATTTCATTCCATTCCATTCCATTCCATTCCATTCCATTCCATTGCATTCCATTCCATTCCATTCCATTGCATTCCATTCCATTCCATTCATTTCCATTCCTTTCCCGTCTTTTCCCTTCCCTTCTATTCCATTCAATTCTACTACACTCCCTTCCATTCCACGTGACTCCAATGCATTCCAATCCATTCCACTCCATTCCACTATGTTCCATTCCATTTCATTCCACTGAAATCCACTCCAATCCACTCCGTTCAATTTCATTCCTTCCCAATCCATTCCATTCCAGTCAACTCCACTCCAATCCATTCAATTCCGTTGACCCCGTTCCATTCAACTCCATTCCACACCACTCCACTCCACTCAACTATGTTCAATTCCAATCCACCCCTTTCCATTCCACTCCATTCCACTCTTGACCTCTACAGTTCACCGTATTCCATTTGGTTCCATTTGAAGACATTCGGTTCCATTCAATTCATTTCCATTCTATTGGATTCCATTCCATTCCATCCCATTCAATTCGATTCCATTCCATTTGATTCCATTCCATTCGATTCCATTCCATCCCATTCCATTTGATTCCATTCCATTCGATTTGATTCAATTCGATTCAAGTCCATTGCATTCCATTCCATTCCAGTCCTGTATGTTCCATTAGATTCCATTCGATTCCATTCCGTTGGAGTCCATTCCTTATGGTCCATTCCATTCCAGTCCATTCAATTTGAGTCCATTCCATTTGAGTCCATTCCATTCCAGTCATTTCCATTCCAGTCCATTCCAGTTCATTCTGTTTGAGTGCATTCCAGTAAACTGCTTTCCATTCCATTCCACTCCACTCCGTTAAATTCCACTCCTTTCCACTCTATTCCACTCCATTCCATTCCATTCCTTTCCAATCCATTTCCTTACATTGCATTCCATTCCAGTCCGCTCCACTATAATCCTCTCCGTTCACTTCCATTCCTTCTCATTCCTTTCCACCCCATTCCACTCTTATCCACTCCACCCCATTCAATCCTATTCAACCCCATTCCATTCCACTCCATTCCACTCCTCTCTGCTCCTCTTCACGGCATTCCTGTCAATGCCATTCGATTCCCTTCCATTTCATTACATTCCATTGGATTCCATTCCAATTGATTCCTTTCCTTTCGTTTCCATTCCATTCAAATCCATTCTATTCACGAAGAGTGCATTCTATTCCATTCCATTCCATACCAATCCATTCCATTACCCTCCTCTGCCCTGCACTCCAATCCCCTCCAACCCACTTCATTCCTTTCCATTCCATTCCACTCCACTCCAGTCCACTCTATTCTACTCCATTCCATTCCATTCCATTCCACTCCATTCCATTCCATTCTATTCCATTCCAGTACACACCAATACACTCCATTCGAATCCAATCCACACCATTCCATTCCACTACATTCCACTCCACTGCACTCCCCTTCAATGCATTCCATTCGATTAGATTCGACTCCATTCAATTCCATTCCATTCGATTCCACTCCATTTGATCCCATTCCCTTCAATTCCATTGCATTTGATTTCATTCCATTGCATTCCATTCCATTCCAGTCCATTCCACTTGAGTCCATTCCATTCCTTTCCATTAAATTCGAGTCCATTCCATTCCACTCCATTCCATTCCATTCCATTCCACTCCATTCCATTCCATTCCATTGCATTTGATTTCATTCCTTTCGTGTCCATTTCATTTGATTCTATTACATTCGATGCCATTCCATTCCAGTCCATTCCATCGAGTCCATTCCATTAAATTCCATTCTTTCCATTCCATTCCATTCCAGTCCATTCCATTCCCATCCACTCCACTCAACTCCACTCCATTCAGTTCTATTCCCTCCCATTCCATTCCACTCCATTCCCCTCCACTACACTCAATTGCTTTCCACCACATTCCATTCTACTCTTTTGCACTACACTCCACTCCACTTCACCGAATTCCATTTGATTCCATTTGATGCCATTTGATTCCATGCCATTCGATGCCATTCCATTCGACTCCATTCCATTCCCCTCTATTCCACGCAATTCCATTGCATTTCATTCGATTCCATTCCAGTCGATTCTATTCTATTCGATTCGATTCGATTCCATTCCATTCCATTCCATTCCATTCCTTTCCATTCCATTCCTTTGCATATCATTTCCACTCTACTCCACTAAACTCCAATCCAATCAATTCCATTTCTTCTCATTCCATTACTTTCCATTTCATTCCACTGCAATCCACTGCACTCCATTAAATTCCATTCCACCCCATTTCATTCCACTCCATTCCACACTGGTCTTCTCCACTTCAACATATTCCAGTCGATGCCATTTGATTGCAATCCTTTCGATTCCATTCCATTGTTTTCCATTCCTATTGATTCCATTCCATTTTATTTCATTCCTTTCGAGTCCATTTCATTCGTTTCCACTCCATTCCTTTTGTTTCTATTGCATTCCATTCCATTCCTTTGGAGTCCATTCCATTCCATTCTAGTCCATTCTATTCCATTCCATTTCATTCCATTCAATTCCATTCTATTCCACTGCACTCCATCCCATCCCTTTCCACTCCATTCCATTCCAATCCTTTCAACACCATTTCATTCCTTTCCATTCCATTCCACTGCACTCCATCCCATCACTTTCCACTCCATTCCATTCCACTCCTTTGTACACCATTTCATTCCTTTCCATTCCATTTGATTCCATTCCTTTCAATTCCTTTCCCTTCGATTCCATTCCATTCGTATCTATTCCATTCCATGCCAGTCCATTCCATTGCAGTCTATTCACCTCCACTTCACTCTGTTCAATTCCATTCCTTGTCATATCATTCTATTCCACTCCAGTGCACTTCACTCCACTACACTTCATTCTATTGAATTCCACCGCATTCCATTCCATTCCATTCCACCCCACTCCTCTCAAATTCACCAAATTCCATTTGATTCCATTCGATGCCATTCAATTCCATTCCATTCGATTCCATTCCTTTCGATTCCATTCCATTTGATTCCATTCCATTCCAGTCCATTCCATTTGATTATATTCCATTCGATTCAATTCCATTCCATTCCGTTCCATTCCATTCCATTCCATTCGATATCATTTCATTCCATTCCATTCCATTCCATTTTTTCGTTTTCATTCCTTTCCATTTTATTCCATTGGAATCCATTGATTTGGATTCACTTCGAATCCATTAGATACCATTGCTTTTGATTGAATTCCATACCATTCGATTCCATTGCACTCCATTCCCTTTTGTTCCATTCCATTCGAGTCCATTCCATTCCTTTCCATTCCATTTGATTCCATTCCATTCATGTCAATTCCATTCGATTACATTCATTTCCCTTCCATTCCATTCGATTCTATTTCATTCCATTCCATTCCATTTGAGTGCATTCCATTCCATCTCATTCTATTCCATTCCATTCCTTTCTAGTCCATTCCAATCTAGTTCATTCCATTCCATTCCATTCAATTGCTTTGCATTCCACTCCACTCCGCTCCATCACATCGCACTCCACTCCATTCCATTCCACTCCTTTCCACTCCATTTCACTCCATTCCATTCCGTTTGTTTCCATTCAATTCCTTTCCATTCCATTCCATTGCATTCCATTTCACTCCACTCCACTCCATTCAATTACATTCCTTCCCATTTCATTACATCCACTCCATTCCACTCCACTATATTAAGTTGCATTCCTCCCCATTACATTCCACTTCATTCCAATTCACTCGTCTACACTTCACCGTATTCCATTTGATTCCACTTGATGACATTTGATTCAATTCAATTCATTTATGTTCCATTCTATTTCATTCCATTCGATCCCATTCAATTCAATTCCATTCCATTCGATTGCATTGCATTTCATTCCATTCCATTCCATCCATTTCCATTCAGTTCCATTCCATTCGTTTCCATTCTATTCAATTCGATTCCGTAGTATTCCATTCCATTATGTTCAATTCCATTCCATTCCTTTCGATTCCATTCCATTCCATTGTATTCCACTACACTCTCTTCCATTCCACTCCTTTCCACTCCATTTCACTCCATTCCATTCCATTCTATTCCATTCCATTGAATTCCATTCAATTCCTTTCCATTCGATTCCACTCAATTCGAGTGCTTTCCATTCCATTCAAATCCATTCCATTCCATTCCAGACCATTCCATTCCAGTGTATTCCACTCCACTCCACTCCGTTCAATTCCATTCCCTCCCATTTCATTCCATTCCAATCCTTTGCACTCCACTCCAGTACCCATCATTCTATTCCATTCCACCCAATTCCATTCCACTGCATTCCACTCTACTCCACTCATCTTCACCGCATTCCATTTGATTCCATTTGATAACATTCAATTACATTCCATTCCATTCCTTTCCATTTGATTCCATTCCATTCCAGTCCATTACATTTGATTCTATTCCATTCGTTTTGATTAGATTCCAATCCATTCCATTCCTTTCCATTCCATTCTATTGCTTTCCTTTCGTGTCCATTACATTCCATTCCAATCCATTCGAATCCATTGCATTTGATTCCCTTCCATTCCATTCGATGCCTTTGCATTCAATTGCAATCCATTCCTTTCAATTCAATTGCACTCCATTCCATTTTTTCCATTCTATTGGAGTCCATTCCATTCCTTTCCATTCTATTCATTTCCATTCCATTTGATTACATTCCATTTGATTCCATTCCATTCAATTCCATTCAATTCGTTTCCATTGCTTTCCGTTCGATTCTATTGCATTCCATTCCATCCCATTCCGTTCCATTCTTGTCCTTTCCAATCATGTCCTTTCCATTCCATTCCATTCCATTGCATTCCATTCTACTCCACTACACTCCATCCCATCCCACTCCACTCCATTCCGTTGCACTACTTTCCACTCCATTTCCCTCAATTCCATTCCATTCGATTCCATTCCATTCCTTTACATTCTATTCCATTGCATTCCATTCCACTCCACTCCACTCCATGCAATTCCATTTCTCCCCATTCCATTCCATCCACTCCTTTCCACTCCACTCCACTACATTAAATTCCAATCCATCCAATTCCGTTCCACTGTATTCCAATTCACTCTTCTACACTTCACCATATTCCATTTGATTCCATTTGATGACATTCGATTTCATTCAGTTCGATTCCATTCCATTTGATTCCCTTTCATTAGAGTCCATTCCATTTGAGTCCATTCCACTCCATTCAATTCCAGTCCTTTCCATTTGAGTCCATTCCATTCGATTCCATTTCATTCCAGTCCATTCCTTTCCAGTCTATTCCATTCAAGTCCATTCCATTCCATTCCTTTACTTTCCATTCCATTAAACTCCATTCAATTCCATTCTGTTCCATTCCATTCCATTCCACTCCATGTCACTTTGTTCTGTTCCTTTCCATTCCATTCTCTTACACTCCATTCCACTCCACTCAACTTCACTCAATTCCATTCCATTCCATTCCCTTCCATTCCAATACACTCCACTACATTCCATTCGTCTCCACTTCTTTCTACCCCACTCCACTCCACTGCATTCCAATCAACTCCACTCCACTCCACAGCATTCCACTCCACTGCATTCCATTCCACTCCTCTCCACTCCATTCCATTCCATTCCATTGCATTCCACTCCACTCCACTCCAATCCACCCTGTTAAATTTCTTTCTTTTGCATTCCATTCCATTCTATTCCACTCCAATCTAGTCCACTCATATAAATTCCATTCCACCCCATTACATTCCATGCCATTCCACTGAACTCCACTCCACTTCATCGCATTCCATTTGATTCCATTCAATGCAATTAGATTCTACTCCATTCGATTCAATTCCAATCTATTCCATTAAATTTCATTCTATTCCATTCTATTCCATTCCATATGATTCCATTCCATTCGATTGCATTCCATTCGATTGCATTCCATTCGATTCCGTTCTGTTTGATTCCATTCCATTCGAGTCCGTTCCATTTGATTCCTTTCATTTCGATTGCATTCCTTTCGATTCCGTTCTGTTTGATTCCATTCCTTTCTATTCCCTTCCATTCGATTCCATTCAATTCGATTCCATTCCACTTGATTCTGTTCTATTTGATTATATTCAATTTGAGTCCATTCCATTCGAGTGCATTGCATTCGATTCCATTCCATTCCATGCCATTCAATTCCATTCCTCTGCACTCCACTCCATTCCATTCCATTCCATTCCATTCCATTCCATTCCACTGCATTCCACTCCACTCTACTCCCCTGCAGTCCATTCTACTCTACTCCACATCACTCCACACTATTCCATTCCATTCCATTCCTTTCCATTCCATTCCATTCCATTCCATTCCACTCCATTCCATTCCATTCCAGTCCATTCCACTCCACTCCACTCCATTCCGTTCAATTCCATTTCTTCCCATTCCATTCCGTTCCGCTGCAATCCACTCCACTCCACTCAATTCACTGAATTACATTCGATTCCATTCCATTACATTCAATTCCATTCCATACGAGTCCTTTTTAAGCGAGTCCATGCCATTCGAGTCCATTCCATTAGAGGCCATTCCTTTCGAGTCCATTCCTTTCCAGTCCATTCCATTCAAATCTATTACATTCGAGCCCATTCCGTTCGAGTTCTTTGCATTCCATTCCATTTCATTCCATTCCATTCCTTTTCTTTCTATTCCATTCTATTCCACTACATTCCATTCCACTCCATTGCACTCCATTCCATTCCATTCCATTCCACTCTACGTTCCATTCAATTCCACTCCTTTCCATTCCACTTCACTCCACCCCACTCCAATCAACTCAATTCCACTCCATTCCATTCTATTCCATTTCATTTCATTCCATTCCACTCCACTCCACTCCACACCATTCCACTCCATTCCATTCCATTCCATTCCATTCCACTCCATTCCATTCCGTTCCATTCCGCTCCACTCCATTCCTCTCCACTCCACTTTCTTCCATTCTTTTGCATTTCACTCGTCTCCTCTCCACTCCATTCCACTTTCTTCCATTATTTTGCATTTTACTCGACTACACTCCACTCCACTCCGTTCAATTCCATTGCTTCACATTCCATTCTATTCCACTCTATTCCACTTCACTCCACTCCGCTCAATTCCATTCCTCTCCATTCCATTCAACTCCACTCTTCTTCACCGCATTCCAATCAATTCCATTCCCTTCTATTCGATTCCATTCAATTCCATTCTTTTCTATTCCATTCGAGTGCATTCCCTTCATGTCCATCCCATTCCAGTCCATTCCATTCGAGTCCATTCTATGCCAGTCCATTCCATTCCTTTACATTCCATTCTAGTACATTCCATTCCATTCCATTCCATAACATTCCACTCCACTCCACTCTACTCCACTCCACCCTACTCCACTACACTCCACTCCACTACACTCCATTCCATTCCATTGCATTCCACTCCACTCCACTTCAAACCATTCTATTCCATCCCTTTGCATTCAATTGCATTCCACTCCAATCCCCTGCACTTCAACGTATTCCCTTCCATTCCATTCTATGCCATTCGATTCCAGTCCATTCAATTAAATTCCATTCAATTTCATTTCATTCAGTTCCATTCCATTCCATTCAATTCCATTCTGTTCGATTCCATTCCATTCAATTCCATTCAATTCCAGTCCATTCCGTTCGATTCCATTCCATTTGAGCCCCTTCCATTCCATTCCATTCGTGTCCTTTCCTTTCCAGTCCATTCCATTTGAGTCCATTCCATTCGAGTTTATTCCATTCCACTCCAGTCCATTCGACTCAATTCCATTCCAGTGCATTCCATTCCAATTCATTCCGTTTGAGTGGATTCCACTCCACTGCTTTCCATTCCATTCCTCTCCAATCCATTCAATTCCTCTCCATTCCAGTCCATTCTATTCCATTCCATTCCTTTAGATTCCATTCCTTTCCAATCTATTACATTCCATTTCATTCCATTCTAGTCCACTCCACTATACTCCACTCCATTCAATTTTATTCCTTCTCATTCCATTGACTCCATTCGAATCCAATTCACTCCAATACATTCAATTCCATTCTACCCCATTCCTTTCCACTCCATTCCCCTCCTCTCTTCTCCACCTCACGGCATTCCAGTCAATGCCATTCACTTCCTGTCCATTCGATTCCATCCCATTGGATTCCATTCCAATCGATTCCATTCCATTCAATTCCATTCCATTCAAGTCCAATCCATTCCATTCCATTCCATTCCATTCCATTACCATCCACTGCACTCCACTCCACACCCCTCCATTCCATTCCACTCCATTCCATTCCATTCCACTCCAATCCACTCCATTTCATTCCATTCCATTCCATTCCATTCATTTCCATTCCACTCCACTACACTCCATTGAAATCAATTACTAACCATTCAATTCCACTGCATTTAGTTCCACTGAACTCCACTTCAACACATTCCTTGTAAT
>NT_187420.1:11256-20549 GCF_000001405.40 Homo sapiens | reverse complement strand
ACATCACTCCACTCCATTCCATTCAATTGCATCCCACTCATTTCCACTCCACTCCACTCCATTCCATTCCATTCCATTGCATTCCACTCCACTCCAATCCACTCAACTCAACTCCACTCCTTTCAATTCCATTCCTTCCCATTCCATTCCATTCCACTCCATTCCACTAAACTCCACTCCTATCCATTCAATTACATTCCACCCCATTCCATTTCACTCCATTCCAAACTACTCCACTCCACTTCACTGCATTCCATTCAATTCCATTAGATGCCATTCGTTTCCTCTCCTTTCGATTCTATTCCTTTCGATTTCATTCCATTCGATTCCATTCTTTTTGATTCCATTCCATTCAATTGCATTCCAATCGATTCCATTCCCTTTGAGTCCATTTCATTCGATTCCGTTCCATTCCAGTCCATTCTGTTCACGTCCATTCCATTTGAGTACATCCCATTCCATTCTTCTCCATTCCATTCTATTCTATTCCATTCTAATCCATTCCATTCCATTCCGTTCTCGTACTTTCCCTTCCCTTCTATTCCATTCAATTCCACTCCACTCCATTCCATTCAACTCCATTTCAATCCGTTCCATTCCATTCCAGTCAATTCCATTCCATTCTTTTCCATTCAATTCCCTTCCATTCCATTTGATTCCATCCCATTCCATTCCATTCCAATCCATTCCATTCCATTCCATTCCACTCCACTACATTCCATTCCATTGCATTCCACTCCACTCCACTCAAATACAATCCGTTCAATTAAATTCCTTCACATTGCCTTCCATTCCATTCCACTCCATTCCAATCCACTCCTCTCCACTGCATTGAATTCCGTTCCACATCAGTCCGTTCCACTCCATTCCACTCCAGTCCACACCAATTCCCCGTATTCCGTTAAACGCCATTCGATTCCTTTCCATTAGATTCCATTCCATTTGATTCCATTCCATTTGATTCCATTCCATTCGATTCCATTTGATTCCATTCTTTCCGGTTCCATTCTCTTTGACTCCGTTCCACTCGATTCCATTCCGTTCATTTCCATTCCATGCGATTCCATTCCATTCTATTCCATTCCATTCTATTTCCTTCATTAGAGTCCATTCCATTGCAGTCCGTTCCTTTCGAGTCCATTCCATTCCAGTCCATTCAATTTCTGTCCATTCCATTTGATTCCTTTCAATTCCATTCCATTCGATTCCATTCAATTCCAATCAATTCCACTCCTTTCCATTCCATTCCCTTGCATTCTTCTGCACTCCACTCCACCTCTTTCCACTCTGTTCAATTCCATTCCTTCCCTTTCCATTCCATTACACACCAATTCATTCCACTCCACACCACTATATTCAATTCCATTCCACCCCATTGCATTGCACTCCATTCCACTCCATTCCACTTCACCACATTCCAGTCCATTCCTTTTGATAACATTTGATTCCATACCATTCGATTCCATTCCGTTTGATTCCATTACTTTTGATTCTATTCCAGTTGACTCCATTCAATTCCAGTCTGTTCCACTCCATTCCACTGTACTCCACTCCACTCCACAACATTCCACTCCACTCCTTTCCATTCATTTCCTTTGCATTCCTTTCCATTCCGTACAATTCCTCTCCATTCCTCCACATTCCATTCCATTCCACTCCACTCCACTCCATTGCAGTCCATTCCATTCCATTCTATTCTATTGCTTTCTACTCCACTCCATACCACTCCACTCCGCTCCATTCAATTCCATTCTTTCCCATTTCATTCCTTTCCACTCCATTCCACTCCAGTCCTCTCCACTTCATTCAATTCCATTGCAATCCATTCCACTCCATTCCACTCCATTCAATTCCATTCCAACCCATTCCATTCCACTCCATTCCACTGTAATCCACTACATTTCACCACACTCCATTCAATTCCATTTGATTCCTTTACATTTGGTTCCTTTCCATTCGATTCCATTCCTTTCGATTCCATTGCATTCAATTCCATTCCATTCAAATTCATTCCATGCCAATCCATTCCATTTGAGTCGATTCCATTCAATTCTGTTCCATTCCATTACATTCAATTCAATTCGAGTCCATTCCTTTCCTTTCCATTCCATTCCATTTCATTCCACTCCATTCCACTCCACTCCGTTCAATTCCATTCAATCCCATTATATTCCATTCCACTGCATTCCATTCTATTCCGGTCCACTCCACTCTACTCCACTCCACTCCACTCTGTTCTATTCCAATCTTTCCCATTCCTTTCCATTCCACACCATTCCACCCCACTCCACTCCACTCCATTCAATTCCATTCCACCCCATTCCATTCCACTCCATTCCACTCCACTTCACTGCATTCCATTCAAATTCATTCCATGCCATTCGATTCCAATCCATTGGATTCCATTCCATTTGATTCCATTCCATTCGATTCCATTCCATTCGACTCCATTCCATTCGATTCCAGTCCATTCCAGTCAATTCAATTCTAGTCCATTCCTTTCGAGACCATTCCATTCCAGTTCATTCCATTCGACTCCGTTCCTTTTGATTGCATTCCATTCGATTTCATTCCATTCCATTAAATTCTATTCCATTGAAATCAATTCCATTCCATTCGCGTCCATTGCATTCCAGTCCATTCCATTCAATTCCACTCCATACCACTCCATTACATTCTATTCCATTCCATTTGATTCCTGTCCATTCCACTTCTCTCCACTCTACTCCACATTGCTCAATTCCATTCCTTCCCATTCCATTCCATTCCACTCCACTCCACGCCATACACTTCCATTAAACCCCATTCCATTCCACTCCATTCCACTCCATTCCACTCCCCTTCACTTCATTCCATTTGATTCCATTCGACGCCATTCGATTCCCTTCCATTTGATTCCATTCCATTAGATTCCATTTCAATCAATTCCATTCCATTCTTTTTCCATTCCATTCAAGTCCATTCTTGTCTAGTCCTTCCCATTCGAGTCCGTTCCATTCCATTTCATTCCATTCGAGTCCACTCCATTCGTGTCTATTCCATTCCAGTCCATTGCATTCCAGTACATTCTTTTCCACTCCACTCCATTCCACTCCACTCCATTCCATGCCACTCCACACAACTCCACTGCATTCCACTCCTTTCCCTTGCACTCCACTCCACTCCATTCCACTCCACTCCACTACATTCCTCTTCACTCCACTCCAAACCTTTCCATTCCATTGCATTCCACTCCATTACACTCCAAACCTTTCCATTCCATTGCATTCCACTCCACTCCACTCCACTCCACTACTTTCCATTACATTCCATTGCATCAAACTCCACTCCATCCCACTCCACTGAATTTAATTCAGTTATTTCCCATTCCGTTCCATTCCACTGGACTCCACTCCAATCCATTCAATTCCATTCCACCCTATTCCATTCCACTCCACTCCACTTCACCACATTCCATTCGATTCCAATATATGCCATTCAATTCCATTTATTTGATTGCACTCCATTCGATTCCATTCCATTCATTTCCATTCCTTTTGAGTCCATTTTATTGGAGTCCATTCCATTGAAGTCCTTTCCATTCGAGTCCATTCCATTCCATTCCATTCCAATCCATTACACTCCGGTCCATTCCACTCAATTACACTCCATTACACTCCACTGCACCCCATTCAATTGCAGTGAATTCCACTCCACTACACTACACTCCATTCCATTACATGCCATTGCATTCCAATGCATTCCACTCCATTCCCCTCCGTTTAATTGCATTTCTTCCCATTCCATACCATTCCATTCCACTCCACTCCACTCCACTTCATTCCATTCCATTCCACCCCGTTCCATTCTATTTCATTCCATTCCACTTCACTCTACACCACTCTAGTCCACTTCACTCCACTCCACTCCGTTCAATTCCATTTTTTTCCATTCCATTCCAATTCAATACATTCCACTGCACTGCACTGCACTCCATTCAATTCCTTTCCAAGCCATTCCATTTCACTCCACTACACTACACTCCATTAAATTCATTTCCACCCCATTCAATTGCACTCCATTCCACTCGTCTCCACTACAATTCTCTGCATTCCATTTGATTCTATTCAATATCATTCGATTCTCTTCCATTCGCTTCCATTCCTTTCCTGTCCATTCCATTCGATTCCATTCTATTCGATTCCATACCATTAGATTCCATTCCATTGGATTCCATTCCTTTCGATTCCATTCCATTCGTGTCCATTCTGTTCCAGTCCATTATATTCGAGTCCATTGCTTTCCATTCCATTCCTTTAGAGTCAGTTACATTCGAATCCATTCCATTCGAGTCCATTTCATTCCAGTCTAATACAATCGAGTCCATTCCATTTCATTCCATTCCATTCCATTGCAATCCATTCCATTCGATTACAATCCATTAGATTCCATTCCATTCGATTCCCGTCCATTCGAGTCCATTCCATTCCACTCCAATCCATTCGAGTCCATTCCATTCCAGTCCAGTCCCTTCGTTTCCATTACATTCGATTCCATTCCATTCGATTCAATTCCATTCAATTCTTTTCCAATCAATTGCATTCCATTCCTTTCTATTCCATTCCATTGGATTCCACTGCATTCGATTCCTTTCCGTACGATTCCATTCCATTCTAGTCCATTCTTTTCAAGTTCATTCCATTCCAGTCCATTACATGTGAGTCCATTCCATTCAATTCTCTTCCATTCCATTCCATTCAATTGAATTCGAGTCCATTCCATTCCATTCCATTCCATTCCAGTTAAATCCACTCCACTCAACTGTGTTCAGTTCCAACCCTTCCCACTCCTTTTCATTGCACTCCCTTCCACTTCACTCCACTCCACTGCATTCAATTCCATCCCACCCCATTCCATCCTACTCCATTCCACTCCACTACACTCTACTTCACCACATTCCTTTCAATTTCATTCCATGCCATTCGATTCCAATCCATTGGATTCCATTCCATTTTATTCCATTCCATTGGATTCCATTCCATTTGACTACATTCCATTCGATTCCAGTCCATTTTAATTAATTCCATTTCAGTACATTCCTTTCGAGATCTTTCCATTCCAGTCCATTCCATTCGGTTCCATTCCTTTCGATTGCATTCCATAAGATAACATTCCTTTCCATTCTATTTCATTCGATTCTATTCCATTCCATTCTATTCCATTCCAATCAATTCCATTCCATTTGAGTCTATTCCATTCCTGTCCATTCCATTCAATTCCAATCCATTCCACTCCACTATACTCTACTTCACCACTTTCCATTCAATTTCATTCCACGCCATTCGATTCCAATCCATTGGATTCCATTCCATTTGATTCCATTCCATTAGATTCCATTCCATTCGACTACATTCCATTCGATTCCAGTCCATTTCAATTAATTCCGTTTCAGTCCCTTCCTTTCGAGATCATTCCACACCAGTCCATTCCATTCGATTCCATTCCTTTCGATTGCATTCCATAAGATACCATTCGATTCCTTTCTATTTCATTCATTTCTATTCGATTCCATTCCATTCCAATCGATTCCTTTCCATTCGAGTCCATTCCATTCCAGTCCATTCCATTCAATTCCAATCCATTCCACTCCTTTCCATTCTATTCCATTTCATTCCATTGCATTCTATTCCATTCCAGTCCATTCCACTCCACTCCACTCCACTCCTCTCTGCTCATTTTCATTCCTTCCCATTCCATTCCATTCCTCTCCTTTCCACTCCACTCCACTCCACTCCACTCCATTCAACTCCACTCCAAACCTCTCCACTACACTCCACTACACTCCTTTCAATTCCATTGGATTCCACTCCACTCCACTCCAGTCCACCCCATTCCACGACATTCCATTTCTTTCTAATGCACTCCACTCCATTCCCCTCCGTTTAATTCCATTTCTTCCCATTCCATTCCATTCCATTCCACTCCACTCCACTCCACTCCATGCCATTCCATTCCATTCCATTTATTTCCATTCCATTGCATTCCTTTCCATTCCATATCATTCCATTCCATTCCTTTCCATTCCATTCCATTCCATTCCTTTCCATTCCATTCCATTCCATTCCATTCCTTTCCATTCCATTCCATTCCATTCCTTTCCATTCCATTCTATTTCATTCCATTCCACTTCAATCCACTCCAATCCAATCCACTCCAGGCCACTTCACTCCACTCCACTCAGTTCAATTCCATTCCTTCCCATTCCATTCCAATTCAGTACATTCCACTCCACTGAACTGCACTCCATTCAATTCCATTCCACCTCATTCCATTTCACTCCACTCCACTTCACTCCATTCAATTCCATTCCAACCCATTCCATTCGACTCCATTCCACTCCACTCCACTACACTTCTCCGCATTCCATTTGATTCTATTCAATGCCATTCGATTCCATTCCATTTGATTCCATTCCTTCGAATCCATTGCATTCCACTCCATTTCATTCGATTTCATTCTATTGAATTCCATTTCATTAGATTCCATTTCGTTGGATTCCATTCCGTTGGATTCCATTCCATTTGCTTCCATTCCATTCATGTCCATTCTATTCCAGTCCATTCTATTCGAGTCCATTCCATTCCATTCCATTCCATTCAATTCCATTCCATTCTGTTACATTCGATTCCATTCCATTCAAATCCATTCCAGTCCATTCCAGTCCATTCGAGTCCATTCCATTCCATTCCTTTTCGTTCCATTCCAATCCATTCCATTCTATTCCATTCCTTTCGATTCCAGTGCATTCAAGTCCATTCTGTTCCAGTCCAATCCATTGGATTCCATTCCGTTCCAGTCCAGTCCATTCGTTCCCATTGCATTTGATTCCATTCCATTCGATTTTATTCCATTCCATTCCATTCGAATCGATTGCATTCCATTCCATTCCATTCCACTCCATTCGATTCTGTTGTAATTGATTACATTCCATTCGATTCAATTCCTTTCCTTTCTATTCCATTCCATTTGATTCCATTCCATTCAATTCCATTTCGTACGATTCCATTACATTCGAATCCATTCCATTCGAGTTCATTCCATTCCAGTCCATTTAATTCGAGTCCATTCCATTGCTTTCCATTCCATTCCATAGCATTCAATGACATTCCATTGGATTTGATTCCATTCCATTCCAGTGTATTCGATTCCATTCCATTCCACTCCCTTCCTATCCCATCGATTACATTCCATTCTTTTCCATTCCATTCAATTCCATTTCATTCGAGACCGTTCCATTCCATTCCATGCCATTCCATTCGAGTCCATTCCATTCCAGTCCATTCCATTTCAGTCACTTCCATTCCAGTCAATTCCATTGGACGCCTTTCCTTTCGAGTCCTTTCTATTCCAGTCCATTCTATTCGTGTGCATTCCATTTGAGTCCATTCCATTCCATTCCATTCGAGTCCGATCCATTCGTGTCCATTCCATTCCAGTCCATTCCATTCCCTTCAAATCCATTTGAGTCCATTCCATTCCGTCCATTCCTTTCCATGCCATTCAATTCTAATCCATTCGATTTCATTCCATTCAATTACATTCCATTCGGTTCAATTCCATTCTTTTCTTTTCCATTCCATTTGATTCCATTTCATTCGATTTCATTCCTCTCAATTCCATTACATTCGAGTCCATTCAATTCGAATAAATTCCATCTGAGTCCATTCCATCCAGTCCATTCCATTCGATCCCATTCTATTCAATTTCATTCCATTCCATTGCATTCCATTCTATTCCATTCCACTCGATTCCATTCCATTCTATTCCATTCCTTTTCTGTCCATTCTATTGAAGTCCCTTCCATTCGAGTCCATTCCATTCGAGTCCAATCCATTCGAGTCCATTTCATTTGAGTCCATTCTTTTCCATTCCATTTCATTCAATATCACTCCATTCCACTCCATTCCATTCCATTTGATTCCATTCCATTTGAGTCCATTCCATTAGAGTCCATTCCCATCGAGTCCATTCCATTCCACTCCATTCCACTCCATGGCACTAAACTACCTTCAAATCCATTCCGTCCCATTCCATTCCACTCCATTCCACTCCAATCCACTCCGCTTCTCCGCATTCCTTTCGATTCCATTTAATTCCATTCGATTCCATTCCATTCGATTCCATTCCTTTCGATCCCATTCCATTCCAGCCCATTCCATTCGAGTCCATTCCATTCGAGTCCATTCCATTCCCTAAAAGTCCATTGCGTTCCACTCCACTCCTTTTCATTCTATTTCACTCCACCCGTCTCCATTCCACTCCACTCCATTCCATTCCATTCCATTGCACCCCACTCCACTCCACTCCGTTCAATAACAATCCTTCCCATTCCACTCCATTCCACTCCACTCCACTCCACTCCATTCAATTCCATTCCACCCCATTCCTTTCCACTCCATTTCTTTCCACTCCACTTCACCACATTCCTTTCAATTCCATTCGATGTCGTTCGAATCCATTCCAATTGATTCCATTCCTTTCGATTCCATTCAATTTGTTTCCATTCCACTTGATTCAATTCAATTCGATTCCATTGCGTTCGATGCCTTTCCATCCGATTCCATTCCAGTCCAGTCGATTCCATTGCATTCCGTTCCATTCCATTCCAGTCCATTCCTTTCCATTCCATTCCATTTCATTCCATTCCATTCCACTCCACTCCACTCCACAACACTCCACTCCACTCCATACCATTCCATTCCATTTCAATGAAATACATTTCATTCCACTCCATTCCACTCCATTCCAGTCCACTCCACTGCATTCCATTTCAATCCATTCCAGTCCATTCCACTGCACTCCATCCCAATCCACTCCATTTCTTTCTATTCCATCGCATACCACTTCACTCTACTCCACAGAATTCCACTCCATTCCTTTCCATTCCACTCTATTCCAGTCCACTCCACTCTACTCCACTCGACTCCATTCCATTACATTCCACTCCACGCCACTCCACTCCACTCCATTCCACACTATAACATACCGTTCCATTCCACTCCAATCCACTGCACTCCATTCCATTCCATTGTATTCCTTCTCATTCCATAGCTTTCAACTCCATTCTACTTCATTACAATCCACTCCATTCAATTGAATTCCACCTCATTCCTTTCCACACCACTCCACTCAAGTGCACTCAACTTCACTGCATTCCATTCGATGCTATTCGATGCCATTTATTTCCTTTCCTTTCTATTCCATTGTATTGTATTCCATTGCATTCGATTGCATTCGATTCCGTTCCATCAGTT
>NT_187420.1:9237-11236 GCF_000001405.40 Homo sapiens | reverse complement strand
TTCCATTCCATTCCACTCCACTCCACTCCATTCCACTCCACTCCATTCAATTCCATTCCTTCCCATTCCATTCCATTCCACTCAATACCACTTCACTCCAAGCTACTCCATTCAATTGCGTTCCACCCCATTCCATTCCACTCAATTCCTCTCCTCTCCACCCAATGTCACCGCTTTCCATTCAATCCCATTCGATTCCATTTGATCCTATTTGATTCTATTCTATTCGATTCCATTCCATTTGATTCCTTTCGATTCCATTCTATTCAATTTGATTCCACTCAGTTTGAGTCCATTGCATTCGAGTCCCTTCCATTCCAGTCCATTCCATTCCCTTCCATTCCATTCGAGTCCATTCCATTGCAGTCCAATCCATTCCAGTCCATCCCATTCAATTCCATTCCTTTCAACTCCACTGCAAACCACTCCACTTCACTCCACTTGACTCCACTCCACTCCACTCCATTGCATTCCGTCGTATTCCATTCCACTCCATTCTAGTCCACTCCACTCCACTTCAACACATTTCATTCGATTACATTTGATGCTATCCATTCGTTTCCAGTTCATTCAATTACATTCCATTCGATTCAATTCCATTTGAGTCCATTCCATTCAATTCCTTTTTATTTGATTCCGTTACATTCCAGTCCATTCCATTCCAGTCCATTCCATTTGAGTCCATTCCGTTCGAGTCCATTCCATTTCATTCCTTTCCATTCCATACCATTCCACTCCACTTCATTCCATTCAATTCCATTCCATTCCATTCCACTCCACTCCACTCCGTTCCACTCCACTCCATTCCATTCCACTCTATTCTACTATGCTCCACTCCCCTCCACTCCATTCCATTCCACTCCACTCCACTCTAGTTCACTCCATTCCACTCCACTCCACTCCTCTCCACTGCCCTCCACCCTACTCCATTCCATTCCTTTCCATTCCACTACACTCCTCTCCATTGCATTCCATACTACTCCAGCCCTTTCCATTCCATTCCATTTCATTCCACTCCACACCACTTCACTACACTCCACTCCACTCCATTCCATTCCATTCCATTCCATTCCACTCCACTCCAATCCGTTGAATTCCATTCCATCCCATTCCATTCCACTTCATTCCACACCTCTCCCCTCCACTTCATCGCATTCCATTTGATACCTTTCAATGCCATTCCATTCGATTCCATTCCATTTGATTCCATTCCTTTCGATTCCATTTCCTTCGTTTCCAGTCCATTCAATTCCTGTCCGTTCGGTTCCATTCCCTCGATTGCATTCCATTTGATTCCTTTCCATTCGATTCCAATCCATACGACTCCATTCCATTACAGACCATTACATTCGATTACTTTCCATTCAATTCCATTGCATTCGAGTCCATTACATTCCAGTCCATTCCCTCCCAATCCATTCCATGCCAATCCCTTCCAATCCATTCCATTCCACTCCATTCCTTTCCAATCCATTCCATGCCAATCCCTTCCAATCCATTCCATTCCACTCTATTCCACTCCACTCCACTGCACTCCACTCCACTTAATTCCATTCCATTCCATTGCATTCCACTCCACTCCACTCCATTCTATTCCCCTCCGTTCAATCCCATTCCTTCACATTCCATTCCATTCCACTCCTCTCCATTTCACTCCATTCAATTCAATTCCACCCCATTCCATTCCACTCCATTCCATTCCAATAGACTCCACTTCACCGAAGTCCATTCAATTCCATTTAATGCCATTCGATTCCATTCCATTCGATTCCATTCCATTCGATTCCATTCCATTCCAATCCATTCCATTCGATTCCGTTCCATTCAAATGCTTTCCGTTCAAGTCCATTCCGTTTGAGCCAATTCCATTCGTGCCAATTCCATTTTAATCCATTCTATTCCACTGCATTCCATTCCACTCCACTCCACTCCATTTCATTCCTTTCCATTCCATTCCACTTCACTCCACTTCATTCCACTCCACTCCATTCAATTCCAT
>NT_187420.1:3451-4555 GCF_000001405.40 Homo sapiens | reverse complement strand
CATTCCACTCCATTCCACTACACTTGACTCCACTCCATTCAATTCCATTTCACACCATTACATTCCACTCCAAACCACTGTGCTTCACCGCTTTCCATTTGATTGCATTCAATTCCATTTGATTTCATTCCATTTAATTCGATTCCATTTGATTCCATACCATTCGATTCCATTCCATTCCATTCGATTCCATACCATTCGATTCCATTCCATTCCATTCGATTCCATTCCATTCGATTCCATTCCATTCCATTCGATTCCATTCCATTCATTTCCATTCCATTCCAGTCCTTTTCTTTCTATTCCATTCCGTTCCATTCCATTCCATTCCATTAATTTCCATTCCGTTGCATTGCATTCCATTCCATTCCATCCAATTAAATTCCATTACATTCGATTCTCTTCCATTCGCTTCCATTACATTTGATACCATTCCATTCGTCTGCATTTCTTTCGATTCCGTTGTATTCAATACCCTTCCATTCCATTCCATTGCATTCCATTCCATTCCGTTCCATTCCATTGCATTCCATTCCATTCCATTCCATTCCGTTTCTTTCCATTCTAGAAAGGAAAAGAATTTCATTCTTTTCTATTTCATTCGATTCCATTCATTTCCAGTCCATTCCATTGCAATCCATTCCATTCACGTCCATTCTATTCCACTCCATTCCATTCCAGTTCATTCCATTCTGTTGCATTCCATTCAATTCCATTCCACTCGATTCCATTCCCTTCGCATCCATTCCTTTCGAGTCCATTCCATTCGAGTCCATTCCATTCCAGGCCATTTCATTTGATTCCATTACATTCGATTCCAATCCATTTGATCCCATTCTGTTCGATTCTGTACTGTTCGAGCTCATTCCATTCGATTCCAATCCATTTGATTCCATTCCATTCCATTACATTATGTTCGATTTCATTCCATTCGATTCCATTCCATTCGATTCCATTATATTGGAATCCATTCTTTTCCATTTGATTCTATTCCAATCCCATTACATTACATTACATTTCATTCCATTCCATTACATTCCTTTTGAGTCCATTCCATTTCCTGTCCATTCCATTCAAGTCTATTCCATTCCACGCCATTCCATT
>NT_187420.1:0-3130 GCF_000001405.40 Homo sapiens | reverse complement strand
CTTGAGTCCATTCCATTTCACTCCATTCCATTCCATTACTTTTCATTTGATTGCTTTCCATTCGATTCCGTTTCATTTGATCCCATTCCATTCCTGTCGAATCCATTCGAGCCCATTCCATTCCACTTCTTTCTATTTGATTCTGTTTGATTCGAGTCCATTCCCTTCGAGCCCATTCCATTCTAGTCCATTCCAATAGAGTCCATTCCATTCAATTCCAGTCGACTCGAGTCCATTCCACTCGATTCCATTCCATTCGAGTCCATTCCATTCCATTCCATTCCATTTGATTTGATTCCATTCAACTCGAGTCCATTCAATTCGAGTCTATTCCACTCGAGTCCATTCCATTCCACTCCATTCCATTCCAGTCCAGTCCATACCATTACCCTGCGCTCCTCTCCATTACCTTCCACTCCACTCCATTCCATTCTGTTGCATTCCATTCCACTCCACTCCAATCCACTTCACTACATACAATTCCATTCCTTCACATTCCATTACATTGCACTGCTTTAGACTCAACTCAACCCCACTCCATTCAATTCCATTTCACCCCATTCCTTTCCCCTCCATTCCACTCCACTCCACTCCATTTCACCGCATTTCTTTCGGTTCCATTCGATGCCATTCTCTTCCATTCCATTCGGTTCCATTCCAATCGATTCCCTTCTATTAGAATCCATTCCATTTGATTCCATTCCATTCGAGACCATTCCATTGCACTCCAATCCATTCCATTCCGTTCAGTTCCATTCCATTCGATTCCATTCCATTCTATTCAATTCCTTTCGTTTCCTTCCATTTTAGTCCTTTCCATTGTAGTCCATTGCATTCCATTCCATTTGATTCCATTCCCTTCCATTCGTTTCCACCTCATTCCATTCCATTCCATTCCAATCTATTCCATTTGATTCCATTCAATTCCATTCCGTTCGATTCCATTCCATTCGATTGCACTCCAATGCTTTCCATTCCATTCCTTTCCATTCCATTCCATCCCATTCGATATCTTTCCACTGCATTCCATTCCATTACATTCGAGTCCATTCCATTCAAGTCCATTGTGATCGAGTCCATTCCATTCCATTCCATTCCACTCCACTCCATTCCATTCCTTTCCATTCCATTCCATCCCATTCGATATCTTTCCACTGCATTCCATTCCATTACATTCGAGTCCATTCCATTCAAGTCCATTGTGATCGAGTCCATTCCATTCCATTCCATTCCACTCCACTCCATTCCATTCCTTTCCATTCCATTCCATCCCATTCGATATCTTTCCACTGCATTCCATTCCATTACATTCGAGTCCATTCCATTCAAGTCCATTGTGATCGAGTCCATTCCATTCCATTACACTCCACTCCACTCCCTTCCATTCCTGCCATACTCATTGTATTCCACTACATTCCAGTCCATTCCTCTCCATTCCATTCCATTCCATTGCATTCCATTCAAATCCACTCCAATCCACTCCACTCCGTTCCATTCCACTCTTTCCTCTTCCATTCCATTCCACTCCATACCACTCCACTCCATTCCACTTCACTCCACTACATTCCTATCCACTCCACTCCATTCCATTCCGCTTCACTCTACTCCTCTCCGTTCCACTCCCCTCCATTCAAATCCTTTCCTTCTCATTCCATTCCATTCTGCTCCATTCCACTGCACTCCACTCCATTCCATTCGGTTCCATTCCATTCGATCCCATTCCATTTGATTCCATTCATTCAATTCAATTCCTATTGTTTCCATTCCTTTTGAGTCCTTTCCATTGTAGTCCATTGTATTCCACTCCATTCCATTCCATTCCATTTTATTCCATTCCATTCCATTCCATTCCACTCCCTTCGATTCCACTCCATTCGATCCCACTCCATTCAATCCCATTCCATTCAATTCCAGTCCATTTGATTCCATTCCATTTGAATGTTTTCCATTCGAGTTCATTACATTGGAGTCCAATCCATTCCATTGCATTTCATTTCTTTCCATTCCATTCGGTTCCATTCCATTCCATTCCATTCTGTTCCGTTCCATTCCATTCCATTCCATTCCATTCCATTCCATTCCGTTCTTTTTCATTCCATTCGAATCCTTTCCATTTCAGTCCATTCCATTCGATTCCATTCATTTCCAGTCCATTGCGTTCCAGTCCATTCCTTTCTATTACTTTCCTTTCAATTCCCTTCCATTTGATTGCATTCAATTCGATTCTATTCCAATTGATTCCATTGCATTCGAGTCAATACCTTTCGAGTCCGCTCCATTCGATTCCGTTCCATACGAGTCCATTCCATCCCAGTCAATTACATTTGAGTCCATTCCATTCCATACCATACCATTTTATTCCATTCCCTTGCATTCCATTCTATTCAATTCGATATCTTTCCATTCCATTCCATTCCATCAGATTCAAGTCCACTCCATTCAAGTGCAATCCACTCGAGTACATTCCATTCCATTCCATTACACTCCATTCCATTCCACTCCATTCCATTCCATTCCAATTCATTCCATTCCATTCCACTGCATTTGATTCCAATCCACTCCATTCCATTGCATCACATTGCAGTGCATTCCATTACAATCCACTCCACTCCACTCCACTGCACTCCACTCTGTTCAATTCCATTCATTCATATTGCATAATATTCTCCTCCATTCTGCTCCACTCCACTCCATTCCTATCAATTCCATTTCTCCGCACTACATTCCAATCCATTCCACTCTATTCCACTCCGCTTCACTGCATTCCATTCGAATCCATTTGTTTCCATTTGATTTCATTCCGTTTGATTCCATTCCATTTGATTCCATTCCATTCGATCCCATTCCATTCGATTCCATTTCTTTCCATTCCATTGCATTCCATTCCATTCCATTCCATTCCATTCCATTCCATTCCGTTCCATTCCCTTCCATTCTATTCCATTCTATTCCCTTCCCTTCCATTCCATTCCATTCTATTCCATTGCTTTGCATTCCATTCCATTCCATTCCATTCCATTGCACTCCATTCCATTCCATTCACTTCCATTCCATTCCATTCCAATCCCTTCCATTCCATTCCATTCCCTTCCATTCCATTCCATTCCATTCCATTCCATTCCCTTCCATT
>NT_187419.1:0-1361 GCF_000001405.40 Homo sapiens | reverse complement strand
TGCACACATCACAAAGTAGTTTCTCAGAAAGATTCTGTCTAGTTTTTATACGAAAATATTTCCTTTTCTGTCATTGGCCTCAAAGCAACTGAAAATTCCATCTGGAAATTCCACAAAAAGAGTGTGTCAAATCTCCTCTCTCTAAAGGAAGGTTCAAGTCTGTGAGTGGAATACACACAACACAAAAAGTTACTGAGAATTCTTCTGTCAAGCAATATAAGAAGAAATCCCGTTGCCAAAGAAGGGCTCAAAGAGGTCCAAATATCCACTTGCACACCTTACAAACAGAGTATTTCCGAACTGCTCTATGAAAAGAAAATTTAAACTCTGTGAGTTGAATGCACACATCACAAAATAGTTTCTGAGAATGATTCTGTCTACCTTTTATACGAAGATAATTCCTTTCCTACCGTTGGCCTCAAATCGCTTGAAATCTCCACCTGCAAATTTAACAAAAAGAGTGTTTCACATCTTCTCCGTCTAAAGGATGGTTCACCTCTGTGAGTTGAATACATGCAACACAAAGAAGTTACTGAGGATTCTTCTTTCTAGCATTACATGAAAAAATCCCGTTTCCAACGAAGGCCTCAAATAGATCAAAATATCCACTTGCAGACATTACAAACAGAGTGTTTCCAAACTGCTCTATGAAAAGAAAGATTAAACTCTGTGAGTTGAACGCACACATCACAAAGTAGTTTCAGAGAACGATTTTGTCTTGTTTTTATATGAAGATATTACCTTTTCTACCATTGGCCTCGAGGCGATTGAAATCTCCACCTGGGAAATCCACAAAAAGAATGTTTCAAATCTGCTTTATGTAAAGGAAGGTTCAACACTGTGAGTTGAAAGCACACAACACATATAAGGTACTGAGAATTCTTCTGTCTAACATTCAATGAAGAAATACCTTTTCCAACGAAGGCCAAAAAGAGGTCCATATATCCACTTGCAGAATTTACAAAGAGAGGGTTTCCAAACTGCACAATCAAAGGAAAGGTTAAACTCTGTGAATTGAATGCACACATCACAAAGTAGATTCTCAGAATGATTCTGTATAGTTTTTGTACAAAGGTATTTCCTTTTCTATTTTTGGCCTAAAAGCGCTAGAAATCTCCACGTGCAAATATCACAAAAAAGAGTATTGCACATCTGCTCTCTCTAAAGGAAGTTTCAACTCTATGAGTTGAATACACACAACCCAAGGAAGTTATTAAGATTTATTCTGTCTAGCAGTATATGAAGAAATCCCGTTTCCAAAGAAGGGCTCAAAGAGGTCCAAATATCCTCTTGCAGACTTTACAAACAGAGTGTTTCCAGACTGCTCTATGAAAAGAAAGGTTAAAATCTGTGAGTGAACG
>NT_187418.1:0-1884 GCF_000001405.40 Homo sapiens | reverse complement strand
GATATTTCCTTTTCCACCACAGGCCTCAAAGCCCTCCAAATGTCCACTTGCAGACTCTAGAAAAAGAGTGTTTCAAAACTGCTCCATCAAAAGGAATGTTCAACTCTGTGAGTTGAATGCAAACATCAGATAGAAATTTCCGAGAATGCTTCTGTTTAGATTTTATGTGAAGACAATCCCGCTTCCAACGAAATCTTCAAAGACGTCCAAATATCCCCTTGCAGATTCTACAAAAACAGTGTTTCAAAACTGTTGTTCCAAACGGAATGTTCAACTCTGTGAGTTGAATGCAATCATCAGAGAGAATTTTCTGAGAATTCTTCTATCTTCTTTTTATGTGAAGATATTTCCTTTACCACCACTGGCCACACAGCACTCTTAATGTCTTCTTGCAGATTCTACAAAAAGAGTGTTTGTTTGAAACGTGAACTATCAAAGGAAGTTTCAACTCTGTGAGTTGAATGCAAACATCACAAAGAATTTTCTGAGAATGTTTCCGTTTAGTAATTTGAAGTCTATGCGTGTTCCAACGAAATACTCAAAGAGGTCCAAATATCCACTTACAGATTCTACAAAAGTGTGTTTCAAAACTATCTCATCAAGAGGAATGTTCAACTCTGTGAGTTGAATTCACTAAACACAAAGAAGTTTCTGAGAATGCATCTGTCTAGTTTTTGTATGAAGATATTTCCTTTACTACCATAGGCCTCAAATTTTTCCAAATATCCACTTGCAGATTCTATAAGCAGAGTGTTTCAAAACTGCTCTGTCAAAAGGAACCTTCAACTCTGTGAGTTTAATGCAATCATCACAAAGAAGTTGCTGAGGATCCTTCTCTGTAGTTTTTATGGGAAGATATTTCCTTTTCCACCTAAGGCCTCACTGCCCTCCACATGTCCACTTGCAGATTCTACGAAAGGAGTGTCTCAAAACCACTCTGTGAAAAGCGAGGTTAAACTGTGTGACCCGAACACAAACATCACAAAGAAGTTTGTGAGAATGCTTGAGTTTAGTTTTTCTGTGAAGATATTCCCGTTTCCAAAGGAATCTTCAAAGAAGTCCGCATATCCTCTTACAGATTCTACAAAAAGAGAGTTTCCAAACTGCTCAATCAAATGGAGGGTTCAACTCTGTGACCTGAATGCAATCATCACACAGAAGTTTCTGAGAATGCTTCTCTTGAGTTTTTACGTGAAGGTATAACCGTTTCGAACGAAGGCTTCACAGTGGTCCAAATATCCACCTGCAGATTCTACCAAAAGACTGTCTCAAAGCTGAACTATGAAAGGAATGTTCAACTCTGTGAGTTGTATGCAAACATCACAAAGAAATTTCGGAGAATGCTTCCGTGTAGTTCTGGGAAGTTTATCCCGTTTCCAATGCAATCCTCAGAGAGGTCCGAATATCCACCTGCAGATCCTACAAAAAGTGTGTTTGGAAACTGCTCCATCTAAAGGAATGTTCAGCTCTCTCAGTTAAATACAATCATCGCAAAGAATTTTCTGTGAATGCTTCCGTTTGCTTTTTATGTGAAGTTATTTCCTTTACTTCCATAGGCCTCAAAGCCGTCCAAATCTCCAATTGCAGATTCTACAAAAAGAGTGTTTACAAACTGTTCTATCCATAGGAATGTCCAACTCTGTGAGTCCGATGCAATCATCACAAAGTGGTATCTGAGAATGCTTCTATCTAGTTTTCATGTGAAGATATTTCCCTTTCCACCGCAGGCCTCAAAGCCCTCCAAATGTCCACTTGCACATTCTAGAAAAAGAGCGTTTCATAGCTGCTCTTTCCAGAGGAAAGTTCATTTCCGGAAGTTGAACACAAACATCACAAAATAGTTTCTGAGAATGCTTCTGTTTAGTTTTATGTGAAGATGAACCC
>NT_187417.1:0-981 GCF_000001405.40 Homo sapiens | reverse complement strand
CAAAAAGAGTGTTTGAAAGCTGAACTATGAAAGCAAGGTTCAACTCTGTGAGTGAATGCAAACATCACAAAGAAGTTTCTGAGAATGCTTCCGTGTAGTTCTGGGAAGTTTATCCCATTTCCAACGAAATCCTCAGAGAGGTCCAAATATCCACCTGCAGATTCTACAGAAAGTGTGTTTGGAAACTGCGCCATCTAAAGGAATGTTCAGCTCTCTTAGTTCAATCCAATCATCACAAAGAATTTTCTGTGAATGCTTCCGTTTGGATTTTAGGTGAAGTTATTTCCTTTAGTACCGTAGGCCTCAATGCAGTCCAAATCAGCAATCACAGATTCTACAAAAAGAGTGTTTACAAACTGCTCTATCCATTGGAAGGTTCAACTCTGTGAGTCGAATGCAATCATCATAAAGTAGATTCTCAGAATGCTTCTATCTAGTTTTTATATGCAGATATTAACGTTTCCGCCACAGGCCTCAAAGCCCTCCAAATGTCCACTTGCAGATTCAAGAAAAGCAATGTTTCATAGCTGCTCTGTCAAGAGGAAATTTCACTCTGCAAGTTGAACACAAACGTCATAAAGTAGTTTCTGAGAATGCTTCTGTTTAGTTTTTCTGTGAAGAAGAACCTGTTTCCAACGAAATCTTCAAAGAGGTCCACACATCCACTTGCAGATTCCAAAGAAAGAGAGTTTCAAAACTGCTCCATCAACAGGATTGCTCACCTCTGTGAGTTGAATGCAGTCATCACAGGAAACATTCTGAGAATGCTTCTGTCTAGGTTTGATGTGAAGATATACCCGTTTCGAAGGAAGGCCACAAAGTGGTCCAAATATCCACTAGCAGATTCTACAAAAAGAGTGTTTGAAAGCTGAACTATGAAAGCAAGGTTCAACTCTGTGAGTTGAATGCAAACATCACAATGAAGTTTTTGAGAATGATTCCGTGTAGTTCTGGGAAGTTTATCCCGTTCCAACGAAATCT
>NT_187416.1:0-1445 GCF_000001405.40 Homo sapiens | reverse complement strand
GAGGCCTTCCTTCGACAACGGGGTATATCTTCACATCAAACCTAGACAGAAGCATTCTCAGAATGTTTCCTGTGATGACTCCATTCAACGCACAGAGGTGAACAATCCTGTTGATGGAGCAGTTTTGAAACTCTCTTTCTTTGGAATCTGCAAGTGGATATGTGGACCTCTTTGAAGATTTCCTTGGAAACGGGTTCATCTTCACATAAAAACTAAACAGAAGCATTCTCAGAAACTGCTTTGTGATGTTTGTGTTCCACTTCAAGAATTGAACTTTCCTCTTGACAGAGCAGCTCTGAAACCCTCTTTTTCTAGAATCTGCAGGTGGACATTTGGAGGGCTTTGAGGCCTGTGGTGGAAAAGGAAATATCTTCACATAAAACCTAGATAGAAGCATTCTCAGAAACTACTTTGTGATGATTGCATTCGACTCACAGTGTTGAACATTCCTATAGATAGAGCAGGTTGTAAACAATCTTTTTGTAGAATCTGCGATTGGAGATTTGGACTGCTTTGAGGCCTACTGTAGTAAAGGAAATAACTTCATCTAAAAACCAAACGGAAGCATTCACAGACAATCCTTTGTGATGGTTGGTTTGAACTCAGAGAGCTGAACATTCCTTTAGATGGCGCAGTTTCCAAACACACTTTCTGTAGAATCTGCAAGTGGATATTTGGACCTCTCTGAAGATTTCGTTGGAAACGGGATAAACTTCCCAGAACTACACGGAATCATTCTCAAAAACTTCGTTGTGATGTTTGCATTCAACTCACAGAGTTGAACCTTGCTTTCATAGTTCAGCTTTCAAACACTCTTTTTGTAGAATCTGCTAGTGGATATTTGGACCACTTTGAGGCCTTCCTTCGAAACGGGTATATCTTCACATCAAACCTAGACAGAAGCATTCTCAGAATGTTTCCTGTGATGACTGCATTCAACTCACACAGGTGAGCAATCCTGTTGATGGAGCAGTTTTGAAACTCTCTTTCTTTGGAATCTGCAAGTGGATGTGTGGACCTCTTTGAAGATTTCGTTGGAAACGGGTTCTTCTTCACAGAAAAACTAAACAGAAGCATTCTCAGAAACTACTTTATGACGTTTGTGTTCAACTTGCAGAGTGAAATTTCCTCTTGACAGAGCAGCTATGAAACATTGCTTTTCTTGAATCTGCAAGTGGACATTTGGAGGGCTTTGAGGCCTGTGGCGGAAACGTTAATATCTGCATATAAAAAGTAGATAGAAGCATTCTGAGAATCTACTTTATGATGATTGCATTTGACTCACAGAGTTGAACCTTCCAATGGATAGAGCAGTTTGTAAACACTCTTTTTGTAGAATCTGTGATTGCTGATTTGGACTGCATTGAGGCCTACGGTACTAAAGGAAATAACTTCACCTAAAATCCAAACGGAAGCACTCAGAAAATTCTTTGTGATGATTGGAT
>NT_187415.1:0-2043 GCF_000001405.40 Homo sapiens | reverse complement strand
TGTTAAACTCTGTGAATTGAATGCACAATCCAAAGAAGTTTCTGAGCATGCTTCTGTCTAGTTTTTATGTTAGGATATTCCTGTTTCCAATGAATTACACAAATCGCTCCAATTATCCACTATCTATGTAAAGATATTTCCTTTTTCTCCATAGGCCTCAATGTGCTCCAAATGTCCACTTGCAGATTCTACAAAAAGAGTGTTTCAAAACTGCACTATCAAAAAGAATGTTGAAGCCTGTGAGTTGAATGCACACATCACTAAGAAGTTTCTGAGAAGGCTTCTGTCTATTTTTTTATGAGAAGATATTTCCTTTTTCACCATAGGCCTCAAGGCCCTCCAAATGTCCACTTGCAGATTCTATAACAACAGTGTTACAAAACTGCTCTATCAAAAGAATATTTCAACTCTGTGAGTTGAATGCACACATCACAATGAAGTTTCTGAGAATGCTTCTGTGCAGTTTTTATGTGAAGATATTTCCTTTTTCCCAATAGGCCTCAAATCACTGCAAATATGCAGTTGCAGAATCTACAAAAGAGTGTTTCAAAACTGCTGTATCAAAGGAATGTTCATCTGTGTGAGTTGAATGCACACATCTCAAAGAAGTTTCTGAGAATGCTTCTGTCTAGTTTTTATATGAGGATATACACGTTTCCAATTAATTCCACAAAGCGGTCCAAATATCCATGTGCAGATTCTGCAAAAAGAGTGTCTCAAAACTGCTCTATCAAAAGGAATGTTCGACTCTGTGATTTGAAAGCACACATCACAAAGAAGTCTCAGAGAATGCTTCTGTCTCCTTTTTATGTGAAGTTATTTCCTTTTTCTCCATAGGCCTCAAAGCGCTCCAAATGTCCACTTGCAGATATCACAACAAGCGTGTTACAAAACTGCTCTATCAAAAGAAAGGTTCAACTCTATTAGTTCAATGCACACATCACAAAGATGTGTCTGAGAATGTTTCTGTCTGGTTTTTATGTGAAGATATTTCCTTTTTCACCATAGGCCTCAAAGCGCACCAAATGTCCACTTGCAGTTTCTGCAAAAATAGTGTTTCAAAACTGCTCTACCTAAAGAAAGGTTCAACTCTACTAGTTGAAAGCACAAGTCACAAAGAAATTTCTGAGAATGCTTCTGTCTAGTTTTGATGTTAAAATATACCCGTTTCCAACGATTTCCACAAAGTGGTCCAAATATCCACTTGCAGATTCTTCAAAGAAGTATTTCAAAACTGCTCTATATAAAGGAATGTTCAACTCTGTGAGTTGAATGCACACATAACAAAGAAGTTTCTGAGAATGCTTCTGTCTAGTTTTTATTAGAAGATATTTCCTTTTTCACCTTAGGCCTCAAAGCCCTCTAAATGTCCACTTGCAGATCCTACAAAAAGAGTGTTTCAAAACTGCTCTATCAAAAGGAATGTTCAACTCTGTAAGTCGAATGCACTCATCACAGAGAAGTTTCTGAGAATCCTTCTGTCTAGTTTTTCTGTGAAGATATAACCGTTTCCAATTAATTCCACAAAGCGTTCCAAATATCCAAGTGCAGATTCTACAAAAAGAGTGTTTCAAATCTGCTTAATCAACAGGAATGTTCAACTCTGTGAGTTGAATGTACACAACACAAAGAAGTTTCTGAGAATGCTTTTATCTAGTGTTTATATGTCGATATTTGCTTTTTCGCCATATGCCTCACAGCGCTCCATACGTCAAATTGCAGATTCTACAAAAAGAGTGTTTCAAAACTGCTCTATAAAAAGCAATCTTCAACTCTGTGTGTTGAATTCACTCATCACAAAGAGGTTTCTGAGAATGCTTCTGTTTAGTTTTTATGAGGATATACCCATTTCCAAAGAATTCCACAAAGCAGTCCAAATATCCACGGGCAGAACCTACAAAAAGAGTGTTTCAAAACTGCTCTATCTAAAGGAATGTTCAACTTTGTGAGTTGAATGCACACATCACAAAGAAGTTTCGCAGAATGCTTCTGTCTAGTTTTTATGAGAAGATATTTCCTTTTTCATCATTGGCCTCAAAGTTT
>NT_187414.1:0-2140 GCF_000001405.40 Homo sapiens | reverse complement strand
AAAAGGGTGTTTCAAACCTGAACTATGAAAGCAAGTTTCAACTCTGTGAGTTGAATGCAAACATGACAAAGAAGTTTCTGAGAATGCTTCTGTTTAGTTATGTGAATTTTATCTAATTTCCAATGAAATCCTCCCAAGAGATCCAAATATCCACTTGCAGATTCTACAAAAAGACTGTTTTGAAACTGCTCCATCAAAACGAATGTTCAGCTCTGTGAGTTAAACTCAACCATCACAAAGGATTTTCTGAGAATGCTTCTGTTTAGTTTTTATATGAAGTTATTTCCTTTACTCCCATAGGCCTCAATGCGGTCCAAATCTCCACTTGCAGATTCTACAAAAAGAGGGTTTCCAAACTGCTCTTTCAGTATGAACGTTGAACTCTGTGAGTTGAATGCAATCACCACAAAATGGTTTCTGAGAATGCTTCTATCTAGTTTTTATGTGAAGATATTTCCTTTTCCACCACAGGCCTCAAAGCCCTCCAAATGTCCACTTGCAGATTCTTGAAAAATTGTGTTTCACAGCTGCTGTTTCAAAAGGAAAGTTCAACTCCAGAATTTGAATACAAACAACAGAAATCAGTCTCTGAGAATGCTTCTGTTTAGTTTTTCTGTGAAGATGATCCAGTTTCCAAGGAAATCTTCAAAGAGATCCGCATATCCACTTGCAGATTCCACAGAAAGAGAGTTTCAAAACTACTGTACCACAAGGAGTGTTCAACTGTGTGAGTTGAACGTAGTCATCACAGAAAAGTTTCTGAGAATGCTTCTGTGTAGTTTTAATGTGAAGATATACACGTTTGGAACGAAGGCCACAAATTGGTCCAAATATCCACTTGCAGATTCTACGAAAAGAGTGTTTCAAACCTGAACTATTAAAGGAAGTTCCAACTCCGTGAGTTGAATGCAAACATCACAAAGAATTTTCTGAGAATGCTTCTGTTTATTTATGTGATATTTATCCCGTTTCCAACGAAATCCTCAGAGAGGTAAAAATGTCCACTTGCAGATTTTACAAAAAGGTGTGTTTTGAAACTGCTCCATCCAAAGGAATGTTCAGCTCTGTGAGTTAAACTCAATCATCACAAAAATTTTCTGAGAATGCTTCTGTCTAGTTTTTATATGAAGTTATTTCGTTTAGTACCGTAGGCTGCAAAGCAGTCCAAATTTCCACTTGCAGATTCTTCAAAAAGAGTGTTTCAAAACTGATATATCAAAAGGAGTGTTCAACTTGTGAGATGAATGCAATCATCACAGAGAAGCTTCTGAGAATGCTTCTGTCTAGTTTTTATGTGAGGATATACCCGTTTCGAACGAAGGCCACAAAGTGGTCCAAATATCCACTTACAGATTCTACAAAAACAGTGTTTCAATCCTGAACTATCAAAGGAAATTTCAACTCTGTGTGTTGAATGCAAACTTCACAAAGATGTTTCTGAGAATGCTTCTGTTTAATTACGTCAATTTTATCCCTTTTACAATGGAATCCTCAAAGTGGTCCAAATACCCACTTGCAGATTATGCCAAACGTGTGATTTGAAACTGCTCCATCAAAAGGAATGCTCAGCTCTATGAGTTTCTGAGAATGCTTTTGTCAGGTTTTTACATGAAGTTATTTCCTATACTATCATATGCCTCAAAGCAGTCCAAATCTCCACTTGCAGATTCTACAAAAAGAGTGTTTAAAAACTGCTCTATCAACAGGAGTGTTCAACTCTGTGAGTTGAATGCAATCATCACAGAGAAGTTTCTGAGAATGCTTCTGTCTAGTTTTTTGTGAAGATATTTCCTTTTCCACCACAGGCCTCGCAGTGCTCCAAATGTCTACTTGCAGATTATACAAAAAGAGAGTTTCAAAACTGTTCTATCAAAAGAAAGTTTCAACTTTCTGAGTTGAATACGCACATCACAAAGTAGTTTCTGAGAATGCTTCTGTCTAGTTTTTATATGAAGATATTTCATTTGCTAGCATAGGCCTCAAAGTGCTGCCAATGTCCAGTTGCAGATTCTACAAAAAGAGTGTTTAAAGACTGCTCTATCAATAGGAAGTTTCAAATCTCTGATGTGAATGCAGACATCACAAGGAAGTTTCTGATTTTTCTTCTGTCTAGTTTTATGTGAAGGTATAGCCGTTTTGA
>NT_187413.1:0-2321 GCF_000001405.40 Homo sapiens | reverse complement strand
TCTCAGAACGACTCTGTGATGATAGCATTCAACTCACAGAGTTGAACATTCCTTTTGAGAGAGCAGTTTGCAAAGACTCTTTCTGCAGAATCTGCAAGTGGAAATTTGGACTTCTCTGAGGATTTCATTGGAAACGGGATAAACTTTCCAGAAGTAATCGGAAGCATTCTCCGAAACTTCTTTGTGATGTTTGCATTCAACTCACGGGGTTGAACCTTCCTTTCATAGTTCAGCTTTCAAACACTCTTTCTGTAGAATCTGCAAGTGGATATTTGGACCATTTTGTGGCCTTCCTTCGAAACGGGTATATCTTCACATCAAACCTAGACAGAAGCATTCTCAGAAGGTTTCCTGTGATGACTGCATTCAACTCACAGAGTTGAACAATCCTGTTGATGGAGCAGTTTTGAAACTCCCTTTCTTTGGGATCTGCAAGTGGATATGTGGACCTCTTTGAAGATTTCGTTGGAAACGGGTTCATGTTCACATAAAAACTAAACAGGAGCATTCTCAGAAACTACTTTGTGATGTTTGTGTTCAACTTCCAGAGTTGAACTTTCCTCTTGAAAGAGCAGCTATGAAACACTCTTTTTCAAGAATGTGCAAGTGGACATTTGGAGGGCTTTGAGGCCTGCGGTGGAAAAGGAAATATCTTCACATAAAAACTAGATAGAAGCATTCTCAGAAACTACTTTGTGATGATTGCATCGGACTCACAGAGTTGGGCATTCCTATGGATAGGACAGTTTGTAAACACTCTTTTTGTGGAATCTGCAATTGGAGCTTTGGACTGCTTTGAAACCTACGGTAGTAAAGGAAATAACTTCATATAAAAACCAAACGGAAGCATTCACAGAAAATTCTTTGTGATGATCGTATTTAACTGAGAGAGCTGAACATTCCTTTAGATGGAGCAGTTTTCAAACACACTTTTTGTAGGATCTGCAAGTGGATATTCAGACCTCTCTGAGGATTTCGTTGGAAAGGGGATACACTTCCCAGAAATACACGGAAGCATTCTCCGAAACTTCCTGGTGATGTTTGCATACAACTCACACAGTTGAACCTTCCTTTCGTAGTTCAGCTGGGAGACACCCTTTTTGTAGAATCTGCAGGTGGATATTTGGACCACTGTGAGGCCTTCGTTCGAATCGGGTATATCTACGCGTAACAACTCAAGAGAAGCATTCTTAGAAACTTCTGTGTGATGATTGCATTCAAGTCACAGAGTGGAACCCTCCATTTGATTGAGCAGTTTGGAAATTCTCTTTTTGTAGAAACTCTAAGAGGATATGTGGACTTCTTTGAAGATTTCCTTGGAAACGGGAATATCTTCACAGAAAAACTAAACTAAAGAATTCTCACAAACTTCTTTGTGATGTTTGTGTTCGAGTCACACAGTTTAACATTGCTTCTCATAGAGCAGTTTTGAAACACTCCTTTCGTAGAATCTGCAATTGGACATGTGGAGCGCTTCCAGGCCTGTGGTGGAAAAGGAAACATCTTCACATAAAAACTAGACAGAAGCATTGTCAGAAACTTCTTTGTGATGACTGCATTCAACTCACAGAGTTGAAGATTCCTTTTGAAACAGCAGTTTCGAAACACCCTTTCTGTGGGATCCGCAAGTGGATATTTGGACCTCTTTGAAGATTTCGTTGGAAATGGGGTAAACTTCACATAAAAGCTAAACCGAAGCATTCTCAGAAACTTCTTTGTGATGTTTGCATTCACCTCACAGAGTTGAAGATTCCCTCTGATACAGCACCTTTGAAACGCTCGTTTTCTAGAATCTGCAGGTGGACATTTGGAGGGCTTTGGGGATGGTGGTGGAAAAGGAAATATCTTCTCGTAAAAACTACACAGAAGCACTCTCAGAAACGACTCTGTGATGATAGCATTCAACTCACAGAGTTGAACATTCCTTTTGAGAGAGCAGTTTGGAAACACTCTTTCTGCAGAATCTGCAAGTGGAGATTTGGACCGCTTTGAGGCCTATGGTAGTAAAGGAAAGAACTTCATATAAGAACTAGACAGGAGGACTCTCAGAAAATTCTTTGTGACGATTGAGTTTAACTCAGAGAGCTGAACATTCGTTTTGATGGAGCAGTTTCCAAACACACTTTTTGTAGAATCTGCAAGTGGAAATTTGGACTTCTCTGAGGATTTCGTTGGAAACGGGATAAACTTCACAGAAGTAATCGGAAGCATTCTCCGAAAATTCTTTGTGATGTTTGCATTCAACTCACGGGGTTGAACTTTCCTTTCATAGTTCAGCTTTCAAACACTCTTTCTGTAGAATCTGCAAGTGGATATTTGGA
>NT_187412.1:0-2145 GCF_000001405.40 Homo sapiens | reverse complement strand
GCAAGTGGATATTGGACCACTTTGTGGCCTTCTCGAAACGTGTATATCTCACATCAAACCTAGACAGAAGCATTCTCAGAATGTTTCCTGTGAAGACTGCATTCAACGCACAGAGGTGAACAATCCTGTTGATGGAGCAGTTTGAAACTCTCTTTCTTTGGAATCTGCAAGTGGATATTTGGACCTCTTTGAAGATTTCCTTGGAAAAGTGTTCATCTTCAAAGAAAAACTAAACAGAAGCATTCTCAGAAACTCCTTTGTGTTGTTTGTGTTCCACTTCAAGAATTGAACTTTCCTCTTGACAGAGCAGCTCTGAAACTCCCTTTTTCTAGAATCTGCAAGTGGACATTTGGAGGGCTTTGAGGCCTGTGGTGGAAAAGGAAACATCTTCACATAAAACCTAGATAGAAGCATTCTCAGAAACTACTTTGTGATGATTGCATTCGACTCATAGAGTTGAAAATTCCTATAGATAGAGCAGGTTGTAAACAATCTTTCTGTAGAATCTGCGATTGGAGATTTGGACTTCTTTGAGGCCTACTGTAGTAAAGGAAATAACTTCATCGAAAAACCAAGCGGAAGCATTCACAGACAATACTTTGTGATCATTGGATTGAACTAAGAGAGCTGAACATTCCTTTAGATGGCGCAGTTTCCCAACACACTTTCTGTAGAATATGCAAGTGGATATTGGGACTTCTCTGAGGATTTCGTTGGAAAAGGGATAAATTCCCAGAACTACACAGAAGCATTCTCAGAAACTACTTTGTGATGTTGCATTCAACTCACAGAGTTGAACCTTGCTTTCATAGTTCAGCTTTCAAACACTCTTTTTGTAGAAACTGCAAGTGGATATTTGGACCACTTTGTGGCCTTCCTTCGAAACGGGTATATCTTCACATCAAACCTAGACAGAAGCATTCTCACAATGTTTCCTGTGATTACTGCATTCAACGCACAGAGGTGAACAATCCTGCTGATGGAGCAGTTTTGAATCTCTCTTTCTCTGGAATCTGAAAGTGGATATGTGGACCTATTTGAAGATTTCGTTGGAAACGGTTTCATCTTCAAAGAAAAACTAAACAGTAGCATTCTCAGAAACAACTTTGTGATGTTTGTGTTCAACTTGCAGAGTTGAACATTCCTCTTGACAGAGCAGCTATGAAACATTGTTTTTCTAGAACCTGCAAGTGGACATTTGGAGGGTTTTGGGGCCTTTGGCGGAAACGTAAATATCTGCATATAATAACTAGATAGAAGCATTCTGAGAACCTACTTTGTGATGATTGCATTCGACTCACAGAGTTGAACCTTCCAATAGATAGAGCAGTTTGTAAACACTCCTTTTGCAGAATCTGTGATTGCTGATTTGGACTGCATTGAGGCCTACGGTACTAAAGGAAATAACTTCATCTAAAAACCAAACGGAAGCATTCACAGAAAATTCTTTGTGATGATTGGATTGAACTCAGAGAGCTGAACATTCCTTTAGATGCAGCAGTTTCCAAACACACTTTCTGTAGAATCTGCAAGTGGATATTTGGACCTCTCTGAGGATTTCGTTGGAAATGGGATAAATTTCCCAGAACTACACGAAAGCATTCTCAGAAATATCTTTCTCACTTTTGCATTCAACTCACAGAGTTGAACCTTCCTTTCATAGTTCAGCTTTCAAACACTCTATTTGTAGAATCTGCAAGTGGATATTTGGACCACTTTGTGGCCTTCCTTCGAAACGGGTATATCTTCACATCAAACCTAGACAGAAGCATTCTCAGAATGTTTCCTGTGATGACTGCATTCAACGCACAGAGGTGAACAATCCTGTTGATGGAGCAGTTTTGAACCTCTCTTTCTTTGGAATCTGCAAGTGGATATGTGGACCTCTTTGACGATTTCCTTGGAAACGGGTTCATCTTCAAAGAAAAACTAAACAGAAGCATTCTCAGAAACTGCTTTGTGATGTTTGTGTTCCACTTCAAGAATTGAACTTTCCTCTTGACAGAACAGCTCTGAAACCCTCTTTCTCTAGAATCTGCAAGTGGACATTTGGAGGGCTTTGAGGCCTGTGGTGGAAAAGGAAATATCTTCACATAAAACCTAGATGGAAGCATTCTCAGAAACTACTTTGTGATGATGCATCGA
>NT_187411.1:0-1029 GCF_000001405.40 Homo sapiens | reverse complement strand
TCCACTTGCAGATTCTAGAAAAAGAGAGTTTCAGAGCTGCTCTGTCAAGAGGAAAGTTCAATTCTTGAAGTGGAACACAAACAACACAAAGGAGTTTCTGAGAATGCTTCTGTTTAGTTTTTCTTTGAAGATGAACACTTTTCCAAGGAAATCTTCAAAGAGGTCCAAATATCCACTTGCAGATTCCAAAGAAAGAGAGTTTCAAACTGCTCCATCAACAGGATTGTTCACCTCTGTGCGTTGAATGCAGTCTTCACAGGAAACATTCTGAGAATGCTTCTGTCTAGGTTTGATGTGAAGATATACACGTTTCGAAGGAAGGCCACAAAGTGGTCCAAATATCCACTTGCAGATTCTACAAATAGAGTGTTTGAAAGCTGAACTATGAAAGGAAGGTTCAACTCTGTGAGTTGAATGCAACAGTGACACACATGTTTCTGAGAATGCTTCCGTGTAGTTCTGGGAAGTTTATCACATTTCCAACGAAATCCTCACAGAGGTCCAAATATCCACTTGCAGATTCTACATAAAGTCTGTTTGGAAACTGCGCCATCTAAAGGAATGTTCAGCTCTCTTAGTTCAATCCAATCATCACAAAGAATTTTCTGTGAATGCTTCGGTTTGGTTTTTAGATGAAGTTATTTCCTTTAGTACCGTAGGCCTCAATGCAGTCCGAATCAGCAATCGCAGATTCTACAAAAAGAGTGTTTACAAACTGATTTCTCCATTGGAAGGTTTAACTCTGTGAGTCGAATGCAATCATCACAAAGTAGATTCTCAGAATGCTTCTATCTAGTTATTATATGCAGATATTTACGTTTCTGCCAAAGGCCCCAAAACCCTCCAAATGTCCACTTGCAGATTCTAGAAAAACAATGTTTCATAGCTGCTCTGTCAAGAGGAAAGGTCAACTCTGCAAGTTGAACACAAACATCACAAAGTTGTTTCTGAGAATGCTTCTGTTTAGTTTTTCTTTGAAGATGAACCCTTTTCCAACGAAATCTTCAAAGAGGTCCACATATCCACTGC
>NT_187410.1:0-2489 GCF_000001405.40 Homo sapiens | reverse complement strand
CATTATATGAAGAAATCCCGTTTCCAATGAAGGCCTCAAAGAAGTCCAAATATGCACTTGCAGACTTTACAACCAGAGTGTTTCCAAACTGCTCTATGAAAAGAAAAGGTTAAACCCTGTGAGTTGAACACACACATCACAAAGTAGTTTCTGAGAATGTTTCTGTCTAGTTTTTACACAGAGATATTTCCATTTCAAAGATTGGCCTTAAATCGCATGTAATCTCCACTTGCAAATTCCACAGAAAGAGTTTCTCAAAACTACTCTGTCTAAAGGAAGGTTCAAATCTGTGAGATCAATACACACAACACAAAGAGGTGACTGAGAATTCTTCTGTCTGGCATTATATGAAGAAATCCCATTTCCAACAAAGGTCTCAAAGAAGTCCAAATATGCACTTGCAGACTTTACAACCAGAGTGTTTCCAAACTGCTCTATGAAAAGAAAGGTTAAACCCTGTGAGTTGAACGCACACATCACAAAGTAGTTTCTGAGAATGATTCTGTCTAGTTTTTACACGGAGATATTTCCATTTCAAAGATTGGCCTTAAATCGCATGTAATCTCCACTTGCAAATTCCACAGAAAGAGTTTTTCAAAACTGCTCTGTGTAAATGAAGTTTCAATTCTGTGACTTGAATACACACAACACAAAGAAGTGACTGAGAATTCTTCTGTCTAGCAGCATATGAAAAACTCCCGTTCCCAACGAAGGCCTCAAAGAAGTCCAAATATACACTTGCAGACTTTACAAACAGAGTGTTTCCAAACTGTTCGATTAAAAGAAAGGTTAAAATCTGTGAGTTGAATGCACACATCACAAAGTAGTTCTTGAGAATGATTCTGTGTAGTTTTTATACGAAGATATTTCCTTTTCTGCCATAGGCCTAGAAGCGCTTGAAATCTGCTCTTGCAAATTCCAAAAAAAGAGTGTTTCAAATCTGCTCTCTCTAAAGGAAGCTTCAAATCCGTGAGTTGAATACAAACAACACAAAGAAGTTGCTGAGAATTCTTCTGTCAAGCCTTATGTGAGGAAATCTCGTTTCCAAAGAAGGGCTCAAAGAGGGCCAATTAACAACTTGCAGACATTACAAAGAGAGTGTTTGCAAACTGCTCGATTAAAAGAAAGGTTAAACTCTGTGAGTTGAACGCACACATTACAAAGTGTTTTCTGAGAATGCTTTTCTCTCATTCTAATACGAAGATATATCCTTTTCTACCATTGTCCTCGAAGCGTTTGAAATCTGCACTAGCAAATTCCACGGAAAGAATGTTTCAAATCTGCTCTCTGTAAAGAAAGGTTCAACCCTGTGAGTTGAATACACACAACACAAAGAAGTTACTGAGAATTCTTCTGTCTAACATTATATGAAGAAATCCCGTTTCCAACGAAGGCCTCAGAGAGGTCCAAATAAGCACTTGCAGACTTTACAAATGGAGTGTTTCCAAACTGCTCTATTAAAGGAAAGATTAAACTCTGTGAGTTGAAGGCACACATCAGAAACTAGTTTCTGCGAATGACTCTGTGTAGTTTTACTACGAAGATATTTCCATGTCTAAGATTGGCCTCAAATCGCTTGAATTCTCCACTTGCAAATTCCACACAAAGAGTGTTTCAAAACTGCTCAGGATAAAGGATGGTTCAACTCTGTGTGTTGAATACACACAGCAGAAAGATTTACTGAGAATTCTTCTGTCTAGCAGTATATAAAAAATTCCGCTTCTAACGAAGGCCTCAAAGGGGTCCAAGTATTCACTAGCAGACATTACAAACAGAGTCTTTCCAAACTGCTCTATGAAAAGAAAGGTGAAACTCTGTGAGCTGAAAGCACACATCACAAAGTAGTTTCTGACAATGATTCTGTCTAATTTTACACGAAGATATTTCCATTTCAAAGATTGGCCTCAAATCACTTGAAATCTCCACTTGCTAATTCCACAGAAAGAGATTTTCAAAACTGCTCTGTCTAAAGGAAGGCTCAAATCTGTGAGATCAATACACACAACACAAAGAGGTGACTGAGAATTCTTCTGTCTAGCATTATATGAAGAAATCCCGTTTCCAAGGAAGGCCTCAAAGAAGTCCAAATATGCACGTGCAGACTTTACAAACAGAGTGTTTCCAAACTGCTCGATTAAAAGAAAGGTTAAAATCTGTGAGTTGAACGCACACATCACAAAGTGGTTCTTGAGAATGATTCTGTGTAGTTTTTATACGAAGATATTTCCTTTTCTGCCATAGGCCCAGAAGCGCTTGAAGTCTGCACTTGCAAATTCCAAAAAAAGAGTGTTTCAAATCTGCTCTCTCTAAAGGAAGGTTCAAATCCGTGAGTTGAATACAAACAACACAAAGAAGTTACTGAGAATTCTTCTGTCTAGCATTATATGAGGAAATCTCGTTTCCAAAGAAGGGCTCAAAGAGGGCCAATTAACCACTTACAGACATACAAAGACAGTGTTTCCAAACTGCTCGATTAAAAGAAAGGTTAA
>NT_187409.1:0-2646 GCF_000001405.40 Homo sapiens | reverse complement strand
GCATATTTGGACCTCTTTGAAGCGTTCGTTGGAAACGTGATTTCTTCATATAATGCTAGGCAGAAGAATTCTCAGTCACTTCTTGTGTGGTGTGTATCTAAGTCACAGAGTTGAACCTTCCTTTAGACAGAGCAGTTTTGAGAAATTCTTTCTGTGGAATTTGCAAGTGGAGATTTCAAGCGATTTGAGGCTAATCTTTGAAATGGAAATATCTTCGTGTAAAAACTACACAGAATCATTCTCAGACACTGCTTTGTTATCTGTGCGTTCAGTTCACAGAGTTTCACCTTTCTGTTCATAGAGCAGTTTGGAAAGACTCTGTCTGTAAAGTCTGCAAGTGATTAGTTAGACCCCTTTGAGGTCTTCGTTGGAAGAGGGATTTCTCATTTACTGCTAGACAGAAGAATTCTCAGTAAATCCTTTGTGTTGTGTGTATTCAACTCACAGAGTGGAAACTTCCTTTATTCAGAGCAGTTTTGAAACACTCTTTTTGTGGAATTTGCAAGTGGAGATTTCAAGCGATTTGACGCCAATCTTAGACATGGAAATATCTTCATATTAAAAGTACACAGAGTCATTCGTAGAAACTAGTTTGTGAAGTGTGCCTTCAGCTCACAGAGTTTAACCTTTCTTTTCATAAAGCAGTTTGGAAACACTCTATTTGTAAAATCTGCAAGTGGATATTTGGACCTCTTTGAGGCCTTCGTTGGTAACGGGATTTCTTCATATAACGCTAGACAGAAGAATTCTCAGTAACTTCTTTGTGTTATGTGTATTCAACTCACAGAGTTGAACCTTTCTTGAGAGAGAGCAGAGGTGAAACACTCTTTTTGTGGAATTTGCTAGTGCAGATTTCAAAAGCTTCGAAGACAGTGATAGAAAAGGATATATCTTCGCATTAAAACTAGACAAAATCATTCTCAGAAAACTCTTTGTGATGTGTGTGTTCAACTCACAGAGTTTAACATTTCTTTAATCGAGCAGTTTGGAAATACACTCTTTGTAAGTCTGTAGGTGGATAATTGGCCCTCTTTGAGCCCTTCGTTGGAAACGGGATTTCCTCATATAATGCTAGACAGAAGAATTCTCAGTAACTTCTTTGTGTTGTTAGTATTCAACCCACAGATTTGAACCTTCCTTTAGAGAGAGCAGATTTGAGACACTCTGTTTTTGGAATTTGCAAGTGCAGATTTCATGCGCTTCTAGGCCTATGGCAGAAAAGGAAATATCTTCGTATAAAAACTACACAGAATCATTCTCAACAACTACTTTGTGATGTGTGCGTTCAACTCACAGAGTTTAACCTTTCTTTTTATAGAGCAGTTTGGAAACACTCTGTTTGTAAAGCCTGCAAGTGCTTTTTTAGACTTCATTGAGGCCTTCGTTGGAAACGGGATTTCTTCATATAATGCTAGACAGAAGAATTCTCAATCACTTCTTTGTGTTGTGTGTATTCAAGTAACAGAGTTGAACCTTCCTTTAGACAGAGCAGTTTTGAAAAATTCTTTCTGTGGAATTTGCAAGTGGAGATTTCAAGCGATTTGAGGCTAATCTTTGAAATGGAAATATCTTCGTATAAAAACTACACAGAATCATTCTCAGAAACTGCTTTGTTATCTGTGCGTTCAGTTCACAGACTTTCACTTTTCTCTTCATAGAGCAGTTTGGAAAGACTCTGTCTGTAAAGTCTGCAAGTGATTAGTTAGACCTCTTTGAGGCCTTCGTTGGAAGCGGGATGTCTCATTTACTGCTAGACAGAAGAATTCTCAGTAAATCCTTTGTGTTGTGTGTATTCAACTCACAGAGTGGAACCTTCCTTTATTCAGAGCAGTTTTGAAACACTCTTTTTGTGGAATTTGCAAGTGGAGATTTCAAGAGATTTGACGCCAATCTTAGACATGGAAATATCTTCATATTAAAAGTACACAGAGTCATTCGTAGAAACTAGTTTGTGATGTGTGCCTTCAACTCACAGAGTTTAACCTTTCTTTTCATAGAGCAGTTTGGAAACACTCTATTTGTAAAGTCTGCAACTGGATATTTGGACCTCTTTGATTCCTTCGTTGGAAAAGGGATTTCTTCATATAACGCTAGACAGAAGAATTCTCAGTAGCTTCTTTGTGTTGTGTGTATTCAACTCACAGAGTTGAACGTTTCTTTAGAGAGAGCAGAGTTGAAACACTTTTTGTGGAATTTGCTAGTGCAGATTTCAAACGCTTCGAAGACAGTGATAGAAAAGGATATATCTTCGTATTAAAACTAGACAAAATCATTCTCAGAAAACACTTTGTGATGTGTGTGTTCAACTCACAGAGTTTAACCTTTCTTTAATCGAGCAGTTTGGAAATACACTCTTTGTAAGTCTGCAGGTGGATAATTGGCCCTCTTTGAGCCCTTCGTTGGAAACGGGATTTCCTCATATAATGCTAGACAGAAGAATTCTCAGTAACTTCTTTGTGTTGTTTGTATTCAACTCACAGAGTGGAACCTTCCTTTATTCAGAGCAGTTTTGAAACACTCTTTTTGTGGAATTTCCAGGTGGAGATTTCAAGAGATTTGACGCCTATCTTAGAGATGGAAATATCTTCGTATTAAAAGTACACAGAGTCATTCGCAGAAACTAGTTTGTGATGTGTGCCTCAACTC
>NT_187408.1:0-1179 GCF_000001405.40 Homo sapiens | reverse complement strand
CTGCAAGTGCTTATTTGGACCTCTTTGAGGCGTTCGTTGGAAACGGGATTTCTTCATATAATGCTAGACAGAAGAATTCTCAGTCACCTCTTTGTGTTGTGTGTATTGATCTCACAGATTTGAACCTTCCTTTAGACAGAGCAGTTTTGGAAAACTCTTTCTGTGCAATTTGCAAGTGGGGATTTCAAGTGATTTGAGGCCAATCTTTGAAATGGAAATATCTTCGTGTAAAATTTGACAGAATCATTGTCAGAAACTACTTTGTGATGTGTGCGTTCAGCTCACAGAGTTTCACCTTTCTTTTCATAGAGCAGTTAGGAAAGACTCTGCCTGTAATGTCTGCTAGTGAATATTTGGATCCCTTTGAGGCCTTCATTGGAAGCGGAATTTTTTCATATACTGCTAGACAGAAGAATTCTCAGTAAATCTTTTTGCTGTGTGTATTCAACACACAGAGTTGAACCATCCTTTATCCTGAGCAGTTTTGAAACACTCTTTGTGTGGAATTTGCAAGTGGAGAATTCAAGCGATTTGAGGCCAATCTTAGACATGGAAATATCTTCGTAGTAAAACTACACAGAGTCATTCGCAGAAACTAGTTTCTGATGTGTGCCTTCAACACACAGAGTTTAACCTTTCTTTTAATAGAGCAGTTTGGAAACACTCTATTTGTAAAGTCTGCAAGTGGATATTTGGACCTCTCTGAGGCCTTCGTTGGAAACGGGATTTCTTCATATAATGCTAGACAGAAGAATTCTCAGTAACTTCTTTCTGTTGTGTGTATTCAAGTCACAGAGTTGAACCTTCCTTTAGACAGAGCAGTTTTGAAAAACTCTTTCTGTGGAATTTGCAAGTGGAGATTTCAAGCGATTTGAGGCCAATCTTTGAAATGGAAATCTCTTCGTGTAAAAACTACACAGAATCATTCTCAGAAACTGCTTTGTGATGTCTGCGTTCAGCTTACAGAGTTTCACCTTTCTTTTTATAGAGCAGTTTGGAAAGACTCTGTCTGTAAAGTCTGCAAGTGAATACTTGGACCCCTTTGTGTACTTCGTTGGAAGAGAGATTTTTTCATTTACTGCTAGACAGAAGAATTCTCAGTAAATCCTTTGTGTTGTGTGAATTCAACTCACAGAGTTGAACCTTCCTTTATTCAGGGCAGTTTTGAAACACTCTTTT
>NT_187407.1:36018-37690 GCF_000001405.40 Homo sapiens | reverse complement strand
ATTCTCAGCACTTCCTTGTGTTGTGTGTATTCAACTCACAGAGTTGAACGATCCTTTGAGCAGACTTGAAACACTCTTTTTGTGGAATTTGCAAGTGGAGATTTCAGCCGCTTTGAGGTCAATGGTTGTAAAGGGAATATCTTCATATAAAAATTAGACAGAATGATTCTCAGAAACTCCTTTGTGATGTGGGTGTTCAACTCACAGAGTTTAACTTTCTTTTCATAGAGCTGTTAGGAACACTCTGTAAAGTCTGCAAGTGGGTATTTTAACCTCTTTGAGGCCTTCGTTGGAAACGGGTTTTTTTCATGTAAGGCTAGACAGAAGAATTCTCAGTAACTTGCTTTTGTTGTGTGTATTCAACTGACAGAGTTGAACTTTCATTTAGACAGAGCAGATTTGAAACACTCTTTTTGTGGAATTTGCAAGTGGAGATTTCAAGCGCTTTGAGGCCAAAGGCCGAAAAGGAAATATCTTCGTATAAAAACTAGACAGAATGATTCTCAGAAACTGCTCTGTGATGTGTGCGTTCAACTCTCAGAGTTTAACTTTCCTTTTCATTCAGCAGTTTGGAAACACTCTGTTTGAAAAGTCTGCACGTGGATAATTTGACCACATAGAGGCCTTCGTTGGAAACGGGTTTTTGTCATGTAGGGCTAGACAGAATAATTCCCAGTAACTTCCTTGTGTTGAGTACATTCAACTCACAGAGTTGAACGTTCCCTTAGACAGAGCAGATTTGAAACACTCTTTTTGTGCAATTGACAAGTGGAGATTTCAAGCGCTTTAAGGTCACTGGCAGAAAAGGAAATATCTTCGTTTCAAAAGTAGACAGAATGATTCCCACAAACTGCGTTGTGATGTGTTCGTTCAACTCACAGAGTTTAACCTTTCTTTTCATAGAGCAGTTAGGAAACACTCTGTTTGTAAATTCTGTAAGTGGATATTCTGAAATCTTGTGGCCTTCGTTGGAAACGGGATTTCTTCATATTCTGCTAGACAGAAGAATTCTCAGAATCTTCCTTGTGTTGTGTGTATTCAACTCACAGAGTTGAACGATGGTTTACAGAGAGCAGAATTGAAACACTCTTTTTGTGGAATTTGCAAGTGGAGATTTCAGCCGCTTTGAGGTCAATGGTAGAAAACGAAATATCTTCGAATAAAAACTAGACAGAATGATTCTCAGAAACTGCTTTATGATGTGTGCGTTCAACTCACAGAGTTTAACCTTTCTTTTCATAGAGCAGTTAGGAAACACTCTGTTTGTAAAGTCTGCAAGTGGATATTCAGACCTCTTTGAGGCCTTCGTTGCAAACGGGATTTCTTCATATTATGCCTGACAGAAGAATTCTCAGCAACTTCCTTGTGTTGTGTGTATTCAACTCACAGAGTTGAACGATCCTTTGAGCAGACTTGAAACACTCTTTTTGTGGAATTTGCAAATGGAGATTTCAGCCACTTTGAGGTCAATGGTTGAAAAGGAAATATCTTCATATAAAAATTAGACAGAATGATTCTCAGAAACTCCTTTGTGATGTGGGTGTTCAACTCACAGAGTTTAACTTTCTTTTCATAGAGCTGTTAGGAAACACTCTGTAAAGTCTGCAAGTGGGTATTTTAACCTCTTTGAGCCTTCGTTGGAAACGGGTTTTTTCATGTAATGCTAGACAGA
>NT_187407.1:0-1952 GCF_000001405.40 Homo sapiens | reverse complement strand
TGTGTTGTGTGTATTCAACTCACAGAGTGAACGATCCATTGAGCAGACTTGAAACACTCTTTTTGTGGAATTTGCAAATGGAGATTTCAGCCGCTTTGAGGTCAATGGTTGAAAAGGAAATAACTTCATACAAAAATTAGACAGAATGATTCTCAGAAACTCCTTTGTGATGTGGTGTTCAACTCACAGAGTTTAACTTTCTATTCATAGAGCAGTTAGGAAACACTCTGTAAAGTCTGCAAGTGGATATTTTCACCTCTTTGAGGCCTTCTTTGGAAACGGGTTTTTTTTCATGTAAGGCTAGACAGAAGAATTCTCAGTAACTTCTTTGTGTTGTGTGTATTCAACTGACCGCATTGAACTTTCATTTACACAGAGAAGATTTGAAACACTCTTTTTGTGGAATTTGCAAGTCGAGATTTCAAGCGCTTTGAGGCCAAAGGCAGAAAAGGAAATATCTTCGTATAAAAACTAGACAGAATCATTCTCAGAAACTGCTCTGCGATGTGTGCGTTCAACTCTCAGAGTTTAACTTTTCTTTTCATTCAGCAGTTTGGAAACACTCTGTTTGTAACGTCTGCACGTGGATATTTTGACCACTTAGAGGCCTTCGTTGGAAACGGGTTTTTTTCATATAAGGCTAGACAGAAGAATTCCCAGTAACTTCCTTGTGTTGTGTACATTCAATTCACAGATTTGAAGGTTCCCTTAGACACAGCAGATTTGAAACACTCTTTTTGTGCAATTGGCAAGTGGAGATTTCAAGCGCTTTAAGGTCAATGGCAGAAAAGGGAATATCGTCGTTTCAAAACTAGACAGAATCATTCCCACAAACTGCGTTGTTATGTGTTCGTTCAACTCACAGAGTTTAACCTTTCTTTTCATAGAGCAGTTAGGAAACACTCTGTTTGTAAATTCTGTAAGTGGATATTCTGACAACTTGTGGCCTTCGTTGGAAACGGGATTTCTTCATACTATGCTAGATAGAAGAATTCTCAGTAACTTCCTTGTGTTGTGTGTATTCATCTCACAGAGTTGAATGACCCCTTACACAGAGCAGACTTGAAACACTCTTTTTGTGGAATTTGCAAGTGGAGATTTCAGCCGCTTTGAAGTCCAAGGTAGAAAAGGAAATATCTTCGTATAAAAACTAGACAGAATGATTCTCAGAAACTCCTTTGTGATGTGTGCGTTCACCTCACAGAGTTTAACCTTTCTTTTTATAGAGCAGTTAGGAAACACTCTGGTTGTAAAGTCTGCAAGTGGATATTCAGACCTGTTTGAGGCCTTCTTTGGAAACGGGTTTTTTTCATATAAGGCTAGACAGAAGAATTCCCAGTAACTTCCTCGTGTTGTGTGTATTCAACTCACAGAGTTGAACTTTCATTTACACAGAGCAGATTTGAAACACTCTTTTTGTGGTACTTGCAAGTGGAGATTTCAGCCGTTTTGGTGTCAATGATAGAAAAGGAAATATCTTCATATAAAAACTAGACAGAATGATTCTCAGAAACTTCTTTGTGATGTGCGCGTTCAACTCATAGAGTTTAACCTTTCTTTTCATAGAGCAGTTAGCAAACACGCTGTTTGTAAAGTCTGCAAGTGGATAATCAGACCTCTTTTTGGCCTTCGTTGGAAACGAGATTTCTTCACATTCTGCCAGACAGAAGAATTCTCACTAATTTCCTCGTGTTGTGTGTATTCAACTAACAGAGTTGAAAGATCCTTTACACAGAGCAGACTTGAAACACACTTTTTGTGGAATTTGCAAATGGAGATTTCAGCCGCTTTGAGGTCAATGGTTGAAAAGGAAATATCTTCATATAAAAATTATACAGAATGATCTCTCAAAAACTCCTTTGTGATGTGGGTGTTCAACTCACAGAGTTTAACTTCTTTTCATAGAGTAGTTAGGAAACACTCTGTTTGTAAAGTCTGCAAGTGGATATTAC
>NT_187406.1:10821-12399 GCF_000001405.40 Homo sapiens | reverse complement strand
GGTCTGATATCCACTGCAGACTTACAAACAGAGTGTTCCTAACTGCTCTATAAAAGAAAGGGTAAACTCTGTGAGTGAACGCACACATCACAAAGCAGTTTCTGAGAATCATTCTGTCTAGTTTCTATACGAAGATATTTCCTATTCTACCATTGACATCAAAGCGGCAGAAATCTCCACGTGTAAATTCCACAAAAAGAGTATTTCAAGTCTGCTCTGTGTAAAGGATCCTTCAACTCTGTGAGTTGAATACACACAACACAAGGAAGTTACTGAGAATTCTTCTGTGTAGCATAATATGAAGAAATCCCGTTTCCAAAGAAGGCCTCAAATATGTCTGAATATCCACTTGCAGACGTTACAAACAGAGTGTTTCCTAACTGCTCTATGAAAAGAACGGTTAAACTCTGTGAGTTAAATGCCCACATAACAAAGGAGTTTCTGACAATCATTCTGTCTAGTTTTCATACGAAGATATTTCTTTTTCTACCATTGAACTCAAAGGGGCTGAAACCTCCACTTGCAAATTCCGCAAAAAGAGTGTTTCAACTCTGCTCTTTGTAAAGGATCATTCAACTCTGTGAGTTGAATACACACAACACAAGGAAGTTACTGAGAATTCTTCTGTCTAGCATAATATGAAGAAATCCCTTTTCCAACGAAGGCCTCAAAGAGGTCTGAATATCCATTTGCAGAGTTTACAAACATAGTGTTTCCAAACTGCTGAATGAAAAGAAAAGTTAAACTCTGAGAGTTGAACGCACACATCACAGAACAGTTTCTGAGAATGATTCTGTCTAGTTTTTATACGAAGATATTTCCTTTTCTGCCTTTGGCCCCAAAGCGCTTGAAATCTCCACTTGCAAATTGCACAAAAATAGTGTTTCAAATCTGCTCTGTCTAAATGAAACTTCAACTCTGTCAGTTGAATACACACAACACAAGGAAGTTACTGAGATTTCTTCTGTCTAGCCTTACATGAAAAAAACCCGTTTCCAACAAAGGCCTCAAAGATGTCGAAATATCCACCTGCAGACTTTACAAACCGAGTGTTTCCTAACTGCTCTATGAAAAGAAAGGTTAAACTCTGTGAGTTGAACGCCCACATCACAAAGGTGTTTCTGAGAATCATTCTGTCTAGTTTTTATACGAAGATATTTCCTTTTCTACCATTGACTTCAAAACGGCTGAAATCTCCACTTGCAAATTCCACAAAAAGTGTGTTTCAAGTCTGCTCTGTGTAAAGGATCATTCAACACTGTGAGTTGAATACCCGCAACACAAGGAAGTTACTGAGAATTCCTCTGTCTAACAGAATATGAAGAAATCCCGTTTACAACGAAGGCCTCAAAAAGGTCTGAATATCCACTTGCAGACCTTACAAACAGAGTGTTTCCTAACTGCTCTATGAAAAGAAACGTTAAACTCTGTGAGTTGAACGCACACCTCACAAAGGAGTTTCTCAGAATCATTCTATCTAGTTTTTATACGAAGATATTTCCTATTCTACCATTGAACTAAAAGCGGCTGAAATCTCCACTTGCAAATTCCACAAAAAGAGTGTTTAAAGTCTGCTCT
>NT_187406.1:0-1388 GCF_000001405.40 Homo sapiens | reverse complement strand
GAGGCCTCAAGGAGGTCTGAATATCCACTTGCAGACTTTACAAACAGAGTGTTTCCTAACTGCTCTATGAAAAGAAGGTTTAACTCTGTGAGTTGAACGCACACATCACAAAGGAGTTTGTGAGAATCATTCTGTCTAGTTTCTATGGGAAGATATTTCCTATTCTACCATTGACCTCAAAGCGGCTGAAATCTCCACTTGCAAATTCCACAAAAAGAGTGTTTCAAGTCTGCTCTGTGTAAAGGATCGTTGAACTCTGTGAGTTGAATACACACAACACAAGGAAGTTACTGAGAATTCTTCTGTCTAGCATAATATGAAGAAATCCCGTTTCCAACGAAGGCCTCAAGGAGGTCTGAATATCCACTTGCAGACTTTACAAACAGAGTGTTTCCTAACTGCTCTATGTAAAGAAAGGTTAAACTCTGTGAGTTGAACGCATACATCACAAAGGAGTTTCTGAGAATCATTCTGTCTAGTTTTTATACGAAGATATTTCCTTTTCTACCATTGACCTCAAAGCGGCTGAAGTCTCCAATTGCAAATTCCACAAAAAGAGTGTTTCAAGTCTACTCTGTGTAAAGGATCGTTCAACTCTGTGAGTTGAAAACACACAACACAAGGAAGTTTCTGAGAATTTTTCTGTCTAGCAGAATATGAAGAAATCCCGTTTCCAACGAAAGCCTCAAAGGTGTCTGAATATCCACTTGCAGACTTTACAAACAGAGTGTTTCTTAACTGCTCTATGAAAAGAAAGGTTAAACTCTGTGAGTTGAACGCACACATCACAAAGAAGTTTCTGAGAATCATTCTGTCTAGTTTTTATACGAAGATATTTCCTTTTCTACCATTGACCTCAAAGCGGCTGAAATCTCCACTTGCAAATTCCACAAAAAGAGTGTTTCAAGTCTGCTCTGTGTAAAGGGTCGTTCAACTCTGAGAGTTGAATACACACAACACAAGGAAGTTTCTGAGAATTCTTCTGTCTAGCATAATATGAAGAAATCCCCTTTCCAAAGAAGGCCTCAAGGAGGTCTGAATATCCACTTGCAGACTTTACAAACAGAGTGTTTCCTAACTGCTCTATGAAAAGAAAGGTTTAACTCTGTGAGTTGAACGCACACATCACAAAGGAGTTTGTGAGAATCATTCTGTCTAGTTTCTATGGGAAGATATTTCCTATTCTACCATTGACCTCAAAGCGGCTGAAATCTCCACTTGCAAATTCCACAAAAAGAGTGTTTCAAGTCTGCTCTGTGTAAAGGATCGTTGAACTCTGTGAGTTGAATACACACAACACAAGGAAGTTACTGAGAATTCTTCTGTCTAGCATAATATGAAGAAATCCCGTTTCCAACGAAGGCCTCAAGGAGGTCTGAATATCCACT
>NT_187405.1:0-998 GCF_000001405.40 Homo sapiens | reverse complement strand
CGTCAACTCACAGAGTTTAACTTTCTTTCATAGAGCAGTTAGGAAACACTCTGTTTGTAATTCTGCAAGTGGATAATCAGACCTCTTTGAGGCCATCGTTGGAACGGGATTTCCTCATATTCTGCTAGACAGAAGAATTCTCAGTAACTTCCTCGTGTTGTGTGTATTCAACTCACAGAGTTGAACGAACCTTTACACAGAGCAGACTTGAAACACTCTTTTTGTGGAATTTGCAAATGGAGATTTCAGCCACTTTGAGGTCAATGGTTGAAAAGGAAATATCTTCATATAAAAATTAGACAGAATGATTCTCAGAAACTCCTTTGTGATGTGGGTGTTCAACTCACAGAGTTTAACTTTCTTTTCATAGAGCTGTTAGGAAACACTCTGTAGAGTCTGCAAGTGGGTATTTTAACCTCTTTGAGGCCTTCGTTGGAAACGGGTTTTTTTCATGTAAGGCTAGACAGAAGAATTGTCAGTAACTTCCTTTTGTTGTGTGTATTCAACTGACAGAGTTGAACTTTCATTTACACAGAGCAGATTTGAAACACTCTTTTTGTGGTATTTGCAAGTGGAGATTTCAGCCGCTTTGATGTCAATGATAGAAAAGGAAATATCTTCATATAAAAATTAGACAGAATGATTCTCAGAAACTCCTTTGTGATGTGGGTGTTCAACTCACAGAGTTTAACCTTTCTTTTCATAAAGCAGTTAGGAAACACTCTGTTTGTAAAGTCTGCAAGTGCATATTTTCACCTCTTTGAGGCCTTCGTTGGAAACGGGTTTTTTTTCATGTAAGGCTAGACAGAAGAATTCTCAGTAACTTCCTTGTGTTGTGTGTATTCAACTGACAGAGTTGAACTTTCATTTACACAGAGCAGATTTGAAACACTCTTTTTGTGGTATTTGCAAGTGGAGATTTCCTCCGCTTTGATGTCAATGATAGAAAAGGAAATATCTTCATATAAAAATTAGACAGAATGATTCTCAGAAACTCC
>NT_187404.1:0-2276 GCF_000001405.40 Homo sapiens | reverse complement strand
TTTACAAACAGAGTGTTTCCTAACTGCTCTATGAAAAGAAAGGTTAAACTCTGTGAGTTGAACGCACACATCACAAAGGAGTTTCTGAGAATCATTCTGTCTAGTTTTAATACGAAGATATTTCCTTTTCTACCTTTGACTTCAAAGCGGCTGAAATCTCCACTTGCAAATTCCACAAAAAGAGTGTTTCAAGTCTGCTCTGTGTAAAGGATCATTCAACTCTGTGAGTTGAATACACACAACACAAGGAAGTTACTGAGAATTCTTCTGTCTAGCATAGTATGAAGAAATCCCGTTTCCAACGAAGGCCTCAAAGAGGTCTGTATATCCACTTGCAGAGTTTACAAACAGACTGTTTCCTAACTGCTCTATGTAAAGAAAGGTTAAGTTCTGTGAGTTGAACGTACACATCACAACGCAGTTTGTGGGAATGATTCTGTCTAGTTTTGAAACGAAGGTATTTTCTTTTCTGCCATTGACATTAAAGCGCTTGAAATCTCCAATTCCAAATTGCACAAAAGGAGTTTTTCAAATCTGCTCTGTCTAAGGGAACGTTCAACTCTGTGAGTTGAATGCACACAACACACGGAAGTTACTGGGAATTTTTCTGTCTAGCCTTACATGAAAAAAACCCGTTTCCAACGAAGGCCTCTAAGAGGTCAAAATATCCACGTGCAGACATTACAAACAGAGTGTTTCCAAACTGCTGAATGAAAAGAAAAGTTAAACTCTGAAAGTTGAACGCACACATCGCCGAGCAGTTTCTGAGAATGATTCTGTCTAGTTTTTATACGAAGATATTCCCTTTTCTACTATTGACCGCAAAGCGGCTGAAATCTCTACCTGCAAATTCGAGAAAAAGAGTGTTTCTAATCTGCTCTGTGTAAAGGATCGTTCAACTCTGTGAGTTGAATACACACAACACAAGGAAGTTACTGAGAATTCTTCTGTCTAGCATAATTTGAATAAATCCCGTTTCCAACGAGGGCCTCAAGGAGGTCTGAATATCCACTTGCAGACTTTACAAACAGAGTGTTTCCTAACTGCTCTATGAAAAGAAAGGTTAATCCCTGTGAGTTTAACGCACACATCACAAAGAACTTACTGAGAATCATTCTGTCTAGTTTTTAAAAGAAGATATTTCCTTTTCTGCCATTGACCTCAAAGCGGCTGAAATCTCCACTTGCAAATTCCACAAAAAGAGTGTTTCAAATCTGCTCTGTGTAAAGGATCGTTCAACTCTGTGAGTTGAATACACACAACACAAGGAAGTTACTGAGAATTCTTCTGTCTAGCAGAATATGAAGACATCTCGTTTCCAACGAAGGCCACAAGATGTCAGCATATCCACTTACAGACTTTACAAACAGAGTGTTTCCTAACTGCTGTATGAAAAGAAAGGTTAAACTCCGTGAGTTGATCGAACACATCACAACGCAGTTTGAGGGAATGATTCTGTCTAGTTTTTATACGAAGATATTTCCTTTTCTGCCTTTGGCCTCAACGCGCTTGAAATCTCCACTTGAAAATTCCACATAAAGAGTTTTTCTAATCTGCTCTGTCTAAATGTAAGTTCAACTCTGTCAGTTGAATACACACAACACAAGGAAGTTACTGCGAATTCTTCTGTCTAGCCTTACATGAAAAAAACCCGTTTCCATCGAAGGCCTAAAAGAGGTCAAAATATCCACATGCAGACTTTACAAACAGAGTGTTTCCTACATGCTCTATGAAAAGAAAGGTTAAACTCTGTAAGTTGAACACACACATCACAAAGGAGATTCTGAGAATCATTCTGTCTAGTTTTTATATGAAGATATTTCCTTTTCTATCATTGACATCAAAGCGGCTGAAATCTCCACTTGCAAATACCACAAAAAGAGTGTTTCAAATCTGCTCTGTGTAAATGAAAGTTCAACTCTGTCAGTTGAATACACAAAACACAAGGAAGTTACTGGGAATTCTTCTGTCTAGCCTTATATGAAAAAAACCCGTTTCCAACGAAGGCCTCAAAGAGGTCTGAATATCCACTTGCAGACTTTACAAACAGAGTGTTTCCTAACTGCTCTATTAAAAGAAAGGTTAAACTCTGTGAGTTGAACGCACACATCACAAAGGAGTTTCTGAGAATCATTCTGTCTAGTTTTTATACGAAGATATTTCCTTTTCTACCTTTGACTTCAAAGCGGCTGAAATCTCCACTTGCAAATTCCACAAAAAGAGTGTTTCAAGTCTGCTCTGTGTAAAGGATTCAACTCACAGAGTGAATACACACA
>NT_187403.1:0-1444 GCF_000001405.40 Homo sapiens | reverse complement strand
AAGATATTTCCTTTTCTGCCTTTGGCCTCAAAGCGCTTGAAATCTCGAATTGCAAATTCACAAAAAGAGTGTTCAAATCTCTCTGTGTAATGAAAGTTCAATGCGGTCAGTTGAATACACACAACACAAAGAAGTTACTGAGAATTCTTCTGTCTAGCCTTACATGAAAAAAAACCCGTTTCCAAAGAAGGCCTCAAAGAGGTGAAAATATCCACTTGCAGACTTTACAGAGTGTTTCCTAACTGCTCTATGAATAGAAAGTTAAACTCTGTGAGTTGAACACCCACATCACAAAGGAGTTTCTGAGAATCATTCTGTCTAATTTTTGTATGAAGTTATTTCCTTTTCAACCATTGACCTCAAAGCGGCTGAAATCTCCATTTGCAAATTCCACAAAAAGAGTGTTTCAAGTCTGCTCAAAGGATCGTTCAACTCTGTGAGTTGAATACACACAACACAAGGAAGTTGCTGAGAATTCTTCTGTCAGGCCTAATATGAAGAAATCCCGTTTCCAACGAAGGCCTCAAAGACGTCTGAATATCCACTTGCAGAGTTTACAAACAGAGTGCTTCCTAACTGCTCTATGAAAAGAAAGGTTAAACTCTGTGAGTTGAACGCACACATCACAAAGAAGTTTCTGAGAATCATTCTGTCTAGTTTTTATACGAAGATATTTCCTTTTCTATCTTTGACGTCAAAGCGGCTGAAATCTCCACTTGCAAATACCACAAAAAGAGTGTTTCAAATCTGCTCTGTGTAAATGAAAGTCCAACTCTGTGAGTTGAATACACACAACACAAGGAAGTTACTGGGAATTCTTCTGTCTAGCCTTCTATGGAAAAAACCCGTTTCCAACGAAGGCCTCAAAGAGGTCTGAATATCCACTTGCAGTCATTTCAACCAGAGTGTTTTCTAACTACTCTATGAAAAGAAAGTTAAACTCTGTGAGTTGAACACCCACATCACAAAGGAGTTTCTGAGAATCATTCTGTCTAGTTTTTATAGGAAGATATTTCCTTTTCTACCTTTGACTTCAAAGCGGCTGAAATCTCCACTTGCAAATTCCACAAAAAGAGTGTTACAAGTCTGCTCTGTGTAAAGGATCGTGCAACTCTGTGAGTTGAATACACACAACACAAGGAAGTTACTGAGAATTCTTCTGTCTAGCACAGTATGAAGAAATCCCGTTTCCAACGAAGGCCTCAAAGAGGTCTCAATATCCACTTTCACAGTTTAGAAACAGAGTGTTTTCTAACTGCCCTATGAAAAGAAAGGTTAAACTCTGTGAGTTGAACGCACACATCACAATGAAGTTTCTGAGAATCATTCTGTCTAGTTTTTATACGAAGATATTTCCTTTTATACCATTGACCTCAAAGCGGCTGAAATCACCACTTGCCAATTGCACAAAAAGAGTGTTTCAAATCTGCTCTGTCTAAGGAAC
>NT_187402.1:0-1201 GCF_000001405.40 Homo sapiens | reverse complement strand
CGGGATTTCTTCATATTATGCTAGACAGAATAATTCTCAGTAACTTCCTTGTGTTGTGTGTATTCAACTCAGAGAGTTGAACGATCCTTTACAGAGAGCTGACTTGAAACACTCTTTTTGTGGAATTTGCAAGTGGTGATCTCAGCCGCTTTGAGGTCAATGGTAGAATAGGAAATATCTTCCTATAGAAAGTAGACAGAATGATTCTCATAAACTCCTTTGTGATGTGTGCGTTCAACTCACAGAGTTTAACCTTTCTTTTCATAGAGCAGTTAGGAAACACTCTGTTTGTAAAGTCTGCAAGTGGATATTCAGACCTCCTTGAGGCCTTCGTTGGAAACGGGATTTCTTCATATTCTGCTAGACAGAAGAATTCTCAGTAACTTCCTTGTGTTGTGTGTTTTCAACTCACAGAGTTGAACGATCCTTTACACAGAGCAGACTTGAAACACTCTTTTTTTGGAATTTGAAAGTGGAGATTTCAGCCGCTTTGAGGTCAATGGTAGAAAAGGAAACTATCTTCGTATAAAGACTAGACAGAATGATTCTCAGAAAATCCTTTGTGATGTGTGCGTTCAACTCACAGAGTTTAACTTTTCTTTTCATAACGCAGTTAGGAAACACTCTGTTTGTAAAGTCTGCAAGTGGATATTCAGACCTCTTTGAGGCCTTCTTTGGAAACGGGTTTTCTTCATATTCTGCTAGACAGAAGAATTCTCAGTAACTTCCTTGTGTTGTGTGTATTCCACTCACAGAGTTGAACGATCCTTTAGAGGGAGCAGACTTGAAACACTCTTTGTGGAATTTGCAAGTGGACATTTCAGCCGCTTTGAGGTCAATGGTAGAATAGGAAATATCTTCCTATAGAAACTAGACAGAATGATTCTCAGAATCTCCTTTGTGATGTGTGCGTTCAACTCTCAGAGTTTAACTTTTCTTTTCATTCAGCGGTTTGGAAACACTCTGTTTGTTAAGTCTGCACGTGGATATTTTGACCACTTAGAGGCCTTCGTTGGAAACGGGTATTTTTCATGTAAGGCTAGACAGAAGAATTCCCAGTAACTTCCTTGTGTTGTGTGCATTCAACTCACAGAGTTGAACGTTCCCTTAGACAGAGCAGATTTGAAACACTCTATTTGTGCAATTGGCAAGTGTAGATTTCAAGCGCTTTCAGGTCAATGGCAGAAAAGGAAATATCTTC
>NT_187401.1:0-4416 GCF_000001405.40 Homo sapiens | reverse complement strand
TGTTTCCTGAGAATGCTACTGTCTAGTTTTTATGGGCAGTGATTTCCTCTACTGCCATAGGCTTCAAAGCGGTCCAAATCTCCCCTTGCAGATTCTACCAAAAGTGTGTTTCCAAACGGCTCTACCAAAGGGAATGTTCAACTCTGTGACTTGAAAGGAATCATCAAAATGTAGTTTCGGAGAATGCTTCCATCTAGCTTTTATGAGTAGATATTTCCTTTTCCACCACAGGCCTCGAAACCCTCCAAATGTCCACTTGCAGATTCTACAAAGAGAGGGTTTCAAAGCTGCTCTATCAAAAGTAAAGTACAACTCTGGGAGTTGAATGCAAACATCACAAAGAAGTCTCTGAGCATGCTTCCATTTAGCTTTTATGGGAAGATTATCCCTTTTCCATCAAAGTCTTCAGAGAGGTCCAAGTATCCGCTTGCAGGTCCCTCTGAAAGAGTGTTTCCAAGCTGCTCTATCAAAAGGAGCCTTCCACTCCGTGAGTTGAATGCAGTCATCACAAAGAAGAAGTTTCTGTCAATGCTTCTCTCTAGTTTTTATGTGAAGATATTTCCTTTTCCACCACAGGCCTGAAAGCGCTCCAAATGTCCACTTGGAGACTCTACGAAAAGAATGTTTCAAAACTGTTCTATGAAATGCAAGGTTAAACTCTGGGAGTTGAACACATGCCTCACAAAGAAGTTTCTGAGAAGGCATCTGTTTACTCTTTATGTGAAGATATTCCCGTTTGCAAAGAAATCTTCACAGAGTTCCACCTATCCATGTGCAGATTCCAGAGAAACAGAGTTTCGCAACTGATCTATCCAAAGGAATGTTCAACCCTCTGAGTTGAACGCAATCATCACAGAGAGGTTTCTGAGAAGGCTTCTGTCTGGATTTTATGTGAAGATATACCCTTTTCGAACGAAGGCCACAAATTGCTCCAAATATCCACTTACAGATCCTACAAAAAGGGTGTTTCAAATGTGAGCTATCGAAGGAAGGTTCAACTCTGGACTTTGAATGCAAACGTCCCAAAGAAGTTTCTGCGAAAGCTTCTGTTTAGTTAGGTGACGTTATCCAGTTTCCAACGAAATCCTCGGAGAGGTCCAAATATCCACTTGCAGATGCTACAAAAAGTGTGTTTCAAAACTGCTCCATCCAAAGGAATGTTCAGCTCTGTGAGTTACACTCAATCATCACAAAGTATTTTCTGAGAATGCTTCTGTCCAGTTTTTACTCGAAGCTATTTCCTTTACTACCGTAGGCCACAAAGCGTTCCAAATCTCCACTTGCAGATACTACGAAAAGAGTGTTTCAACCTGAACTCACAAGGGACGGTGCAACTCTGTGAGTTGAATGCCACATCATGAAGAAGTTCCCTGACATGCTTCTGTTTAATTAGGTGAGGGTTATCCCGTTTCAACGAAAATCTAGAGAAGTGCAATATCTACTTGCAGATCCTACAAAAAGTGTGTTTCGAAACTGCTCCATCCAAAGGAATGTTCAGCTCTGTGAGTTGAACTCAATCGTCACAAAGTGTTTCCTGAGAATGCTACTGTCTAGTTTTTATGGGCAGTGATTTCCTCTACTGCCATAGGCTTCAAAGCGGTCCAAATCTCCCCTTGCAGATTCTACCAAAAGTGTGTTTCCAAACGGCTCTACCAAAGGGAATGTTCAACTCTGTGACTTGAAAGGAATCATCAAAATGTAGTTTCGGAGAATGCTTCCATCTATCTTTTATGAGTAGATATTTCCTTTTCTACCACAGGCCTCGAAGCCCTCCCAATGTCCACTTGCAGATTCTAGAGAGAGAGGGTTTCAAAGCTGCTCTATCAAAAGGAAAGTACAACACTGGGAGTTGAATGCAAACATCACAAAGAAGTCTCTGAGCATGCTTCCATTTAGCTTTTATGGGAAGATTATCCCTTTTCCATCGAAATCTTCCAAGAGCTCCAAGTATCCGCTTGCAGGTCCCTCTGATAGAGTGTTTCCAAGCGGCTGTATCAAAAGGAGCCTTCCACTCCGTGAGTTGAATGCAGTCATCACAAAGAAGAAGTTTCTGACAATGCTTCTCTCTAGTTTTTATGTGAAGATATTTCCTTTCCCACCACAGGCCTGAAAGCGCTCCAAATGTCCACTTGGAGACTCTACGAAAAGAATGTTTCAAAACTGTTCTATGAAAAGCTAGGTTAAACTCTGGGAGTTGAACACATGCCTCACAAAGAAGTTTCTGAGAAGGCATCTGTTTACTCTTTATGTGAAGATATTCCCTTTTGCAAAGAAATCTTCACAGAGTTCCACCTATCCATGTGCAGATCCTAGAGAAACAGAGTTTCGAAACTGCTATATCCAAAGGAATGTTCAACTCTCTGAGTTGAATGCAATCATCACAGAGAGGTTTCTGAGAAGGCTTCTGTCTGGATTTTATGTGAAGATATACCCGTTTCGAATGAAGGCCACAAAGTGCTCCAAATATCCACTTGCAGATCCTACAAAAAGAGTGTTTCAAACGTGAGCTATCGAAGGAAGTTTCAACTCTGGACTTTGAATGCAAATATCCCAAAGATGTTTCTGCAAAAGCTTCTGTTTAGTTAGGTGACGTTACCCGGTTCCAACGAAATCCTCAGAGAGGTCCAAATATCCACTTGCAGATGCTACAAAAAGTGTGTTTCAAAACTGCTCCATCCAAAGGAATGTTCATCTCTGTGAGTTACACTCAATCATCACAAAGTATTTCCTGAGAATGCTTCTGTCCAGTTTTTACTCGAAGCTATTTCCTTTACTACCGTAGGCCACAAAGCGTTCCAAATCTCCACTTGCAGATACTACGAAAAGAGAGTTTCAACCTGAACTCACAAGGGACCATTCAACACTCTAAGTTGAATGCCAACATCACGAAGAAGTTCCTGACAATGCTTCTGTTTAGTTAGGTGAGGTTTATCCCGTTTCCAACGAAATCCTTAGAGAAGTCCAAATATCCACTTGCAGATCCTACGAAAAGTGGGTTTCGAAACTGCTCCATCCAAAGGAATGTTCAGCTCTGTGAGTTGAACTCAATCGTCACAAAGTGTTTCCTGAGAATGCTACTGTCTAGTTTTTATGGGCAGAGATTTCCTCTACTGCCATAGGCTTCAAAGCGGTCCAAATCTCCCCTTGCAGATTCTACCAAAGTGTGTTTCCAAACGGCTCTACCAAATTGAATGTTCAACTCTGTGACTTGAAAGGAATCATCAAAATGTAGTTTCGGAGAATGGAGAATGCTTCCATCTAGCTTTTATGAGTAGATATTTCCTTTTCCACCACAGGCCTCGAAGCCCTCCAAATGTCCACTTACAGATTCTAGAAAGAGAGGGTTTCAAAGCTGCTCTAACAAAAGGAAAGTACAACTCTGGGAGTTGAATGCAAACATCACAAAGAAGTCTCTGAGCATGCTTCCATTTAGCTTTTATGGGAAGATTATCCCTTTCCCATCGAAATCTTCAAAGAGCTCCAAGTATCCGCTTGCAGGTCCCTCTGATAGAGTGTTTTCAAGCTGCTGTACCAAAAGGAGCCTTCCAATCCGTGAGTTGAATGCAGTCATCAGAAAGAAGAAGTTTCTGACAATGCTTCTCTCTAGTTTTTATGTGAAGATATTTCCTTTTCCACCACAGGCCTGAAAGCGCTCCAAATGTCCACTTGGAGACTCTACGAAAAGAATGTTTCAAAACTGTTCTATGAAAAGCAAGGTTAAACTCTGGGAGTTGAACACATGCCTCACAAAGAAGTTTCTGAGAAGGCATCTGTTTACTCTTTATGTGAAGATATTCCCGTTTGCAAAGAAATCTTCACAGAGTTCCACCTATCCATGAGCAGATTCTAGAGAAACAGATTTTCGAAACTGCTCTATCCAAAGGAATGTTCAACTCTCTGAGTTGAATGCAATCATCACAGAGAGGTTTCTGAGAAGGCTTCTGTCTGGATTTTATGTGAAGATATACCCGTTTCGAACGAAGGCCACAAAGTGCTCCAAATATCCACCTGCAGATCCTACAAAAAGAGTGTTTCAAACGTGAGCTATCGAAGGAAGGTTCAACTCTGGACTTTGAATGCAAACGTCCCAAAGAAGTTTCTGCGAAAGCTTCTGTTTAGTTAGGTGACGTTATCCCGTTTCCAACGAAATCCTCAGAGAGGTCCAAATATCCACTTGCAGATGCTACAAAAAGTGTGTTTCAAAACTGCTCCATCCAAAGGAATGTTCAGCTCTGTGAGTTACACTCAATCATCACAAAGTATTTTCTGAGAATGCTTCTGTCCAGTTTTTACTCGAAGCTATTTCCTTTACTACCGTAGGCCACAAAGCGTTCCAAATCTCCACTTGCAGATACTACGAAAAGAGTGTTTCAACCTGAACTCACAAGGGACGGTTCAACTCTCTAAGTGAATGCC